>NC_000004.12:83769865-83921381 GCF_000001405.40 Homo sapiens
TAGTAGCAGTTACTACACGTGAAGTGCATTACTAGGCAGTTTACATACATTACCTCACTTAGTCCTCCCAACAACCAGATGGGATCAGGTGGGAACTAATATTATCCACATTTTGTGGATGTGAGTTGAGGATTGGGAGGATTAAATATCTAGTTCAAGATCAGCTGCCTAGTAGGTGGTGGATGGGGATTCAAATCCAACGGTGACTCCAGTGCTTCTGCCACTCACCCTTTGAGTGTGCTGACTTCCGGGGGTGTTCTGTTCTCAGGTGGGTGTTTAGTCTTAATTAATGTTGTGTTCTGGCAATAGCAAGCTGATTTCTCTACTGATTCTTTTCGTGGGGCTGGAGGGGTGTTCCTACTCCATTTATATTAAGAACTCTAATTAGAAAAGACAACATTAAGCCTTGATCTGACCTTGTGGCATTACAAAAATGGCTAAAGTATATAACCAAGTGACTGGCAAAACTTGATCTCACAACTCCATGTTGGAATGGTCTTAATACAGGAGTTTCAAATAATATCATTTCTGTTTTTTAAAATGATTTTGCCTTACAGAAAGCTACACATATTTACCCCTCAAGATCATGGGCTTTCTCATTTATGACAACTCTACCTCCTGATTTCTGACAATACTCAATGACTTAAATTCTTTTGGTCAATTTGAAATTACTTATTTATCTCACCGGCCAGAAAAAACAGAATGTGTTGAGGCACTATGGAGATAGTATTTGGAAAGCTGAATGTGGATTTCACATGTAAGGAGGGGGCCAGTGAAGATCACTGGAAGGACGTTTGGAAATGAGGGAAAGACCTTTGTAAAATACTACCGGGGACTTTGAGAGATAGAAACTTTGACTACTTGCTTTTTGTCATGGTTTGCTTGAACTCTTTCTCTAGGATCCTGTTAATTCATTTGTTTATTAATAGGTTAGGTTCCTAAAGATGTTCAGAAGTACCAAGTGACTGTCGCCACTGCTGTTGGTGGTGGGAACAGCTGGCACATTGTTCACCTTGGCGTGTAGTTACGCTCCTCTCTGTAAAAGTTTCTAAGTAAAGGAGCTTCTGCAATGACTGGTTTCCGTTGACAGGGTATCAGCATAGAAGGCATTTGATAAGGCTGTTTCATGTCAAAGAAGCTTCCCACCCTGTTATTTTATTTAAAGAACACTCTTGACCATTTGCTAACAATAGTTTTTTTCTAGAAGCTTCTATAGAATAGATGATTGATCAACAGCTACTTAATAAACATCCTTTAACAGAAAAAATGGCTTAGATTCCTAAAAATGGGTACCTTTGGGGAATAAAAACATCACTTATAGGAAATGTGGAAAAAAGTTCTGAAAGAGAATTTTGAGGGAGACATTCATGGGAAAGGCTGTTTGAGTTAGCTGCCCTTGGGAAGCCAGGAGCTGCCGTCAGGCCTCATTATCACCACTGGGTGTCACTCCAGGCAGCCCCTTAGCAGCCGTCTAGTCAAGGTTAAAATACTGCTAAGGGAACACAGCAAAACAAACCAAAGGAAAATAATGAGAGAAACAAAAAAAGGGCCTAAGTCTCTCAACATGTATCAGGATTTTGAATGAGGCAGAAGAAAAGCACAATGCTAAAAAGTGACATCAGGTGGCATTGTGTTTTGGGATGAAGCTAGGAAATTTTACAAATTCAGCCTTTTTCTTTTTTTTTTTTTAAATTTAGAGGATATGCCATATCACTCAGTTCACTGAGGTGAGAGCACCATTAGACCAAAGCCCAGCCAGATTTTTAACAGCATGATATTAATATTTTTAAGGATTTTGATCCATGTGGCCTAATTGGTTTCTAGAAAGGTCATACCATTTTACAATAAGAGGGAAGAATTTTTCCCCCCTCTGTTTACTTGCAGGATCAGCAGTATACATGGGCGGATTATCCCGAAAGACCTATGTTCTTGTCTCAGCCTTTCATTATAGCCACATAAGAGCAAGCGATGGGTGGCTAAGGTAGTGGTTCTCAACCTTGGCTGTGCATTAGAATCACTTGGGGAGCCCTTTGATATCCCTTGGCTTTCCTCTCTACCTATTTTATCTGAGAATTTGTGGCTGATCCCATTTACATTTAGACCCTTGCTCTCTATCCCTCTGTGATCCAACTCCAGTGTGCAAGGTACAGCCTGGGGGTAGTGAGATTAAGAAACAGAGAAGAAGAAGAAATTAGGTAGTGATTTCTTCTTCCATTTCCTTCCTCACAACAGATTCCCACAGATTGAGAGGTGGACTTGGTAGTAGGGTCGTCAGCCACAATTCCATCTTATTTCCCCAAAGGGCTCTCATGTTCCTCACCCACACCATCAGTCCCAGCTCCTATTTTTTTCTGATGCTTACAGAAGTTCACCATTTCTCTCTATAAAGATCTTCATCTTTTTTTGGAAAAGTGTAAGTAACGAAAATGAAGGAAGATACTTTCTCTTATTATAACACATCTAGTTTTAGAAGATTTCAAAAATATTAAAAAAGGAAAGAAGAAAACATTTCCTGGTATTAAGGTAATATTGATATCAGGTACTTCAACTTTTTCCTCATTTGTGTGATTATCATTTCTTTGTCATCAAAAAATCTTCAAAACATGATTTTTAATGGCTGCCTTATATTCATTGAACTGATGCACTGTAATTTAAGTATTTGTCCACTGCTGGACATTTAAGTTGCTTCAAATGTCCCCCTATTATACATGACAAGTGTAATTGTTATCTATTGCTGTGTAACTAATCATTATAAAATGTAGTGACTTACAAGGACAAGCACTTGTTATCTCATAGTTTCTGTGGTTCAGGAACCTGGATGGGCTTAGCTGGGTGCCTCTGGCTCAGGATCTTGGCCCTAGAATCTTGAGGTATCCACCAGGGCTGCAGTCTTATCAAGGCTCTACTTCAGGAAGATCCATATGAGCTCATCCTCATGGCTGTTGGCAGGCCTCTGGCCCTCACTTGTCATTGGTTGGAGACTTCGCTTCTTTGCCATTTGAGCCTCTCCACAGGACAGCTCACAGCATGGCAGCTGGCTTCTCTCAGAGTAAATGAACCAGTGAGAGACAGTGAGAAAGAGCACCCGAGACAGAAGGCAAAGACTTTTTGTAACCTAATCTGGGAAGTGACAGCCCATCACCTCTGTCATAATCTATTTACTAAATCCAGCCCACACTCAAAGGGAGGCAATTACCCAAGCAGGTGAATGCCAGGCATCGTTGGGAGCCATCTTAGAGTTGGCCTCATAGTAAGAGAGTGAACATCCTGTGCTGCCTTGAATATGATTACTACTGGACATGTATTATTAGAACTTTGTTTCCAACTTTTTGTTAATATGATTGCTGCAAAGAAGTTTTTTTTATGTTATTGAATGTTTTACATTACTAACATTTTTACAAAGTTTATTGAACATTTTAAAAGGGTGCACAGCATTCTGAGTGACAACCTTGATAAGGTTTCTAGCCATATAATATTTATATTTGTAAGAAATTTGATACATATTGCTTAATTGCTTTCCAGAGAGGTTGTACTATTTTATACTAAATGAGAAACATTTTCCCCCATCTGCTTCCTTGCAGTATCTGCAGGATATATTTCTCAGTAAACTTCAAAATACCTGTGCACTTGCTTCAGGGCCAGAAGGCAAGAAAACAGGCTGGATTTAGTTTTGTATTAGGTTAAGAAAGGTGAGAAACACAATTAGGATAGAGAGTTGAGAGAATCACTTTTTGCAAAGTGAGAAAAAAAATGAAGTAGTCTTAAAACTTACTCTGGGTCTCATGTGTGAGTCTCTGGGGTGGTGTGGGTCCCCACGTATTTTATACTGGCAGAAATCTCCAGTACTTGAAATTTTTAATTTCAGTTCCTTTGGGACCCATGTGAATATTTCCTGCTTTTGGCCTGCCTTTCCCCTTGTCACTCCACTGTATTTGAAGGTACAAATGGAGAGGAGGCTCTGAAAACAGAAATCCTGACAGCCACTGTCCAGCAGACAGAAGGAAATGAGCAACTCACAATTCAACTACAGTAGGAGCCATGTATTTCTAGAGTTTCACGTTGGCATTTGTCTCACTTAGGAATGCTTTTGGCTGCATGTAACAGATAACAGAAAACCTGACACTGATTTTTGTGATGCAGTCATTTAATAACACACTTAAAAAGAAGACAGAGTTATTTGGTTGCTGGAGTTGTTGGTCTGGCTACTCTCCAATGTTATAATGAAGCCCAGCTCCTTCCATCCTTCTGCTCTGCCATTCTTGGGTATTTTTGGCCTTCTGCTTGTTGTCTCCTGGTCACAAGAAGGTTATCATAGCTTCAGGTATCGTGTCTGAATCCAAAACAAGAAGGGAGAAGTGGCAGTGAGGAAGCTTTCCTCCTGTGCATCTTCCTGTTATAAGGAAGTAAAGTTCTCAGAAGATCCACTAGACTTGTGCTTACCTGTTATTGACTGGAACCATGTCACATGGTGGCATGTAACGTTCACTCAATTTTTACACTGGAGAGCCTAACAAATTCTATATTCTAGCTGAAAGGAAGGCAGGGAAAGCAAGTATTTAGTTTTTTCACTGTCTGTGGTAGATGGTGGAAAGACACAAAGGGGTTGTGAGTAACTGTTGAATCAACCAATCAAGAATGTCATGAAGTTCTGAACACATATTATAATAGAAACATGTTTTGTATGGCAGGAAAATTTCTATAGCATCTTAGGCATAAGATTAGTTAATAAATTTGGCCTAACTCCTATATCCTATGGTAAATATATTCTGAATTTCTAACTGTTGACATAAAAATGTATCTTTGGAAAAAATGTGCTTGTAAGTTGGGGCTTTTCACAGTGTATTAATTTTTAATTTTAAAATTAAAAAAAATCATTTCCTAAAGCCCTTTTCTCTAAGTTTTATGCTGTCAAAGTATTTAAAGTATGTATGTTGATGAATCTTCTGTGAGTAAACAGGAATGTATAGAATAACTCTCCTGGCATTAAGACATAACCATATGTGTGAGGCATTATTTTAATCTCACTGTAGCAAAACATTTTAAAAACCTAAATGGGACCTTGATTATTTTCTATATTAAAGCATCTGATGCCTAAATAAGACTCTTGTAAGAAGATGGGGAAAAAACTATCAGTTCGAATCAGTTTGTGGTTTTGGGTTGACCCATCCAGGCTTATTCTCTGGAAGATATTATTTTCTTCTGGGTAATTTGGGTAACTGTGACCATGAATGGTGAGACCTTGTGCTTGAGAGGAGAGTTCTAATTTTTAGGCTTTCCAGTGTAAAAATTGAGTAAACACTGGCACATATTTCAATTTCTCATAGTTTTTTGTTTTTTTTTTTGAAATGGGGTCTCACTGTGTTGTGCAGGGCTGGAGTGTAGGGGTGATCATGGCTTAATGCAGCCTCAACTGCCTGGGCTCAAGCAATCCTCCCACCTCAGCCTCCTGAGCGGCTGGGACTATAGGTGCACGCCAGCATGTCTGGCTAAGTTTTTTTGTTTTTTTGTTTTTTTTTTTTTTTTTTTGGTAGAGATGGGTTTCTTTATGTTGTCCAGGCTGGTCTCAAACACCTGGGCTCAAGGGATCCACTTGCCTCGGCCTCCCAAAGTGCTAGGATTATAGGTGTGAACCACTGTGCCTGGCTTATGGATGTTTTTAAAATGAAAAACAGATGCTTTAATTACATAATAGCCTTTTTTGACCTATCATATACAAATAATATATACAAGTATCATATACAAGTAATATATACAAATAATATATAATTAATAATTGAGACAGAGTAAATTGAATATAAACATCTAAGTGGAGTAATGTCTTCTGTCAATAAATCCTCTTTTTTAAAAAAAATTACAGATGGGATCGTCTGATTATTTTGCCCAGGCTAGAGGGCAGTGACTACTCACAGACATACAGTCTTAGTGCATTACAGCCTCAAACTCCCCGCTTCAAGCAATCCTCCTGCCTTGACCTTCTGAATAGCTGAGACCACAGGTGCACACCACTGCCTCTGGCTGTCATTAAATCTTTAATATGCTCTCATAGAACTCTTAGGAAGTAGGTGTATAGACCTTGGACCTGTGTACATATTCTGACTTCTGGAAGACTTCATTCATTCAACAAAAATTTGGAGAGGCCCTGCCTTGTGTCAGGCACTGTGTTGGGCTCCACGGGGTGTAAATCAGAGCCAGTCCAAGCGCTCACTATTTATCATCTATGAGGAGGCAAATCAACTGGGATTGGAGTCAGTGGAATGAGTGTAATGCTAGCCAGGCACGGGGTGCCGTGTGAGCTTCCTGAACCCGTGAAGGGGATTGTAAAGGACAGTTTCCTGGAGGAAGTTTTATGTTTGAGAAGAGCCGTGAAGGAGACGCTGGAGATGAGTGGCAGTGGGAGTAGTGGCCAAAGATTGTTACAGGAAGAGGAAACAGCATATGAGACTGTCTGGTGGCGGTGTTAGAGACACTACTCTTTAATGTAGGCTTTTGGAATGAAACATTTAATATCTCTTTCTCGCACAACTAATTTTCTTTGAAACAACATTATCTATAGTTCTCCTCTCTCTTTAGATCCGGAGGAGGAGTTCCGGACTCCTACAATTTCTTTTCGTTTTACATACTTAAGACCCATCCAATTGTTTTCAGCACCAAAAATTCCCAGCACATCCTTTTCCTTGTGGCTAACTTTAAAAGAGAAAACCTGTGAGGTATTCATGTGCCTGGGTCCTCAGAGCTTCTCTTTTCAGCTCTAAAAAACCTGTTGAGAAACATGGTTTTAGATCCTCAGTCATCTCAATTCCTCTTTCCTAGCTAACACTTATTTAGCTTAAGGTTTTTCTTTTGTGTGTGTGCTAAATCTGCCAAAAAACTAAATTTTAAAACTAGTTTTAAATCAATAACTTAGTTTTTAGTTTAAAAACTAAGTTAGTTTTTGAAAGAAGTGTTAGTCAGCCTGTCACTTTCTAGCAGTGAAGTTTTGTTTGTTTGTTTTTGAGATGGAGTCTCTCTCTGTCGCCAGGATGGAATGCAATGAGTGGCGCGATCTCGGCTCACTGCAACCTCCACCTCCTGGGTTCAAGCGATTCTCCTGCCTCATCCTCCCAAGTAGCTGGGAGTAAAGGCACCTGCCACCATGCCCAGCTAATTTTTGTATTTTTAGTAGAGACGGGGTTTCACCATGTTGGCCAAGATGTTCTCGATCTCCTGACCTTGTGATCCTCCCGCCTCGGCCTCCCAAAGTGCTGGGATTATAGGCGTGAGCCACCGTGCCCGGCCGTAGAAGTGAAGTTTTAACTTTATTCACGACTACTGGTTTCTAAAAGACCCAACTTTCTTTTCCCCTGAACGCCAAACATCTTAAACCTTAGTTGAGCCTCTTGAGCCTGGACAGACACTTTAATAAGGGGTTTATGTAGTAGCCGCCTTATGTATTTCATTGATGGATTTAGTTTTCTTCATTCTCTTTATTATCCACTTTGAAACTTTTTGCAAATTCTGATATTTTGAAAGTGAGGTAGACCTCAGGATAGAAATTCAACTTTCCTGCTTAGTTACTGCCATCTTACCTACGTAAGTCATTAGATCTAAAAGGGAGTAGACCCAGTCACTCTGCCATAGTGAGTGTCACCTGAGGTTTAGGAGATAAACAAAGCACTTGAAGATACTCTTCCTCTGAATATTGAGGTCTTATTGAACATTTCATGAAGTCAGAGTTTCAGAATCTAACTTACAAAAAGTTCAAAGAAGAAAAACCTCACATTCAATTATTCATGTTTTTAGAAGTCATTAAAAATACTGGATATATCTGAAATAATATTAAGGCCCCAAATAATGGTTGAATATAAATCATAGAGAAATCAAATTCACATGGATGTAGTTAGCTCTTGCAAGAAAATGTTAAGCCTGACCCAGCTCTAAGAGATCAAATTAAGCATGATTTAAAGTGACTGGGTGAAGATAGGGGTGGAGGAGCATCCTGAAAAGGAATCAGAAAGAACCAAGTCAGCCCCAGTGTATCAGAACAAGGGAAGGGAGGATGGCATTTTGTCATTTTTGGAGAGAGAAGGGGAAACATTATTTATAGCTCAATGCATTAAAATGCTTATTTGACATGCAAGTATTGATAAAATCAAATAAAAGCAAGCATATTTTGAATAAACTATGCTCAGATTATCTGACAATTTTAATAAAGAGCTATAGGAAATTTAGTTGCCCAGAGAATGGTCGTCTGAAGTGCATCTTATTTTGAATAAGCCAATATCAGCTTAATAAGAGTTGACTGGAAATGCTTGTCACATGACAAATGGAAATGGTTTTCCTTTTTGGAATGTTCTGATGAGCATGGAGGAAGGAATAGAACAGACATTGAATTTTCATACTCTTGAGCCTGGATGAGTGATGCCCCAGCAATGGCCGGCTCTGGGTAAGTGATTTCAATTAGATTTCAGTTTGTCATGCCTACAAGCCACTTTTTCTTGGGTCTTGTAATTTCATATCTCTGGTATTGCTGGGATGTAATGCTACCTGGGTCATATCACTGGCATGCAAGTTTCAATAATGTAAAAAAAAACTATTGAATGTATGGTTACTGGTACCCATGGCAAAACTTAGTGCATTTATGCTCACGGGACAGTCCAGTACTTCTCATAAAGTACTTGGGAATTAGAATCACCTGGAGAGTTTCTCAAAAGTATAAAGTCTAGATTCCACTTGAGACCAATAGGAAAGAATCTTTAGGAGTGGAGGCTCCATTTTAGCATTCTTAAAAATCTTTCCAAGTCATATACTGCCATATATTATGTCTGTGAGTGCATATAGCTATTAAAAGACTTTGAAAGTCTTTAAAAGCTACCAAAGACTTAAAAAATACATTTGAGGGCAAATCATCTAATTAAATATTACATAGTCATATGCAAAATGCATCCCAGAATTGGAGAGAAACAACATGTGGGTTTTATTTTGCATTTCATGCTTCATGCACCATCGCTGTGTTGTAGTACAGGGGCCTTTGGAAGCTTGTGACTGTTAACATATTATTCCAGCTTGATAAAATGTTGGGGGAAAGAGGTCTCTTCTCTCCTGAAGATGAGAGAGTGGCTTGAAGAAGGCATTGGGGATAGCTGCTATTTTTCTTCAGGTGTTTGATCTGACTGACGGCCCCCGTCTGAACTTCCTAGTCATTTGCCATTTCATTAGCTGCAAGGTTTTCAATTTCTGCCTCTTGGAAGTTACACCGCTTTGAACAAGTCCCCACAGTAATTGAATTTGCCACAGAAATAGAACACTGGAAAATTTCATTTTCTTCTTCCCTGCATGAAGGCAAGCAAGCAGGCAGGGCATACACATATTCCTGCTGGAATGCTCCTCTCTTCTTTCCTGGCTCCATTTCCCCTCCCTTCCCCCCATGCATTCACTAATGCTCACTCCTGTCCTGCTCCCAAGGCAGGTATACAGTCACACAAAAAAGGCCTGCTTTCAAATCATCTCAGAGTGCATCAGCCTGTCACTTTGTAATTTTCTTCTAAATGCCTTCCACAAATAATGGTTTTCAAAATGAGCATTAACAGGCTTGATTACATGAAATTGTCCTTTTAATTTACACCAGGATTCTATTGATCACACAAGTGCAGATTAAAGTGTTCAATGAAGCCCGTGATGAGGTATTAACCAGCTAAGGGTCCTCCAGGGGCCGCCAGGGAGGCCAGGAATATGCTAGAAGTGTACAGTTATTTCCCCATAATGAAGTGGCACTATGCGAAGGCATGAATCGCTGGCAGGAAGAATAGATCGGAGATGATGAGCTCTTCAAAGTCATTTCTCCCTCACTCATTCAGCCTCATGCCCAGATCCTCTTGCGATTCTTCTGCATTACTTGTCATGAAATGCCAGGATTTACTTAGCCAGCTGATGCAATTTTTATGACCTTATTGCTTTTTCACCATGGTAATAGTTTTGAATCAATTTATCAATCCAGCGGTGCCATCAGACATATTGCCCTGAAGATCAAGTCCGGGTCATTCCATCAATTCACTGCGGTTTACGAAGATAGAGAAAAAAGCCAGGCCGTGTGGGCTATCAACTTCAAATGGCTTAGTAAACATGCCTCGGCTGCTTTAACTGCTTCACTTCTGACTCCAGACCTTTGTGTTTCTGGACAAGACCACCCAAATCAACCCAACAGATGCTTGATTTTGGTACACCCAGCTCCATAGCAAAGAGGCCTGGTTAGTGCAAGAAGCATCTCTGGCAATTTCCCAAGCAGAATGGTTGGGGCAGAACTTGGAAGTGTGGCTTAGTCTTGCACACTAAGTAGACTGTGGTACGCTACGCAAGTTCCAAAGCTTTTGTCTAACCAGCCCGAGAGCTTAGCAGTTGGGGTGGGAAAAGGAAGCAGAGTGTGAGGTGGGCTCCTTTAGTAATAGGTTTTGCAGCAGGGTTGGGATTCATAATCCAATCCATCTTCTGTCTACAGGGACTGCTGGTCAGTGATAATGGTTTCAAAAGATGAAAAACCTGTAAGTCATTTTTCACAGGATGAGGTGTCACTGAGGGCAGGACACAAAGAAAGAAGAGCACACTTATTGGAAGAGATGATCTTTTAGGAAAAGAATGAACATTCCTTGCCCAAGGGAGAAAGAGAAGGGGTGTGGCAGGTGTCAATCTGGCCATCCAGTTAGATTGCTGGTGTTTGCACAAATAAAACACTAGGTGTCTCTTGGGAATTCAGTTTTGTTATTACGTTGGCTGTATTCAGAGAATCCTGTTATTTGTATATTCTTTGTATTTATGCATCATGTCAAAATTTGAAATCCTATACCTTAAATTCTGGTAATTTGTTTGCAAAAAAAGGTGACAATGAATTTAAATATTATTTAAAAATGTATTGTTTGCAAGACCTTAATAGAGATTAAATGTATACTATCAGCTTTGTGCTTTGCTGGGAAGCTGCTATATTCAGCATTTAAAATGAGATTTGTCAGATCCCAAGCTTATGTCGATTCTATAAAAGTTTAATGATCTACTTCCAGGTCTAGCAGCATTTAGGATTTATTTACAGTCTTTATTATAAAATTTGTCCAAAATATACACATTCCCCAAAGACTTCTGAGCTTAGCAGCAGAAATATAAATGCACCAAAATGAAATATAGCAGATGGTAAAACCTCTGTTTGCTAGTCATTTTTTCTTCTTTAATCTTCTTTTTTTCTCATTTTCCATTTCTTCTCTATTTGGTAAATACTGAAGGAGGCAAGAGAGGCTGTTTTGTTCCTAGTGAAGCATTTAAGGGAGGCTGTTAAATAAGTTGAATAACATAAGAAAAGATCATCAATATGTAGTCCTTTTCCTTCCATTGTCCTGGATATTTAGCAAAGTAGAAGCTGGAAATCAGCATAAGAAACTAGGAATCATGAAATCAAGTAATGTGTGGGAGGAAACTTAGAGATTATCCAAGGCAATTTCCTTATTTTACAGTTGAGAAAGCAGCAACTTTCTACTGGAAACTTAGAGTTGGATGGTTGTACCTATAATCTAATTACAAAACTCAAGCAACTCAGCATACTTTACTACTCAGCCTCTGTGTTGTAGTTGCCTAAACACCTTGCCTCAAAATTCCTTGACTTCCTCAAGTTAAGGAACCAGTAATGGTTATATCCATTTCCACCATCCTCTAAACATGGCAATGTTTTAGAACTCATTGTCAGTTAAATGAGGGGTTATTAAACATTAAAGTGTCTCCACAGGATCTGGAGTGCTAAGAAACACAGACTCCTACACTCACTCCCCAGAGGTTCTTTTGTAAATCCATAGCGGGGCTCAGTAATCTGCAGTTTAGTAAATACTCAAGCTGATTCCAATGCAGAAGTTGCAAGGTTCCCATGGTTTTGAATGCTGACTTTGCCATAATTTATTATATGATCTAGAACAAGTGACTAGATGTCCTTAAGCCTCAATTAAGTCTGTACAATGGGCCTAAGAATATCTGTCTTATAGGATTGCTATGTCAATTTGTTTGAATTATTATATGAAAAGCACATAGAAGGCATTATTAGCCTGTAATCCCAGCACTTTGGAAGGCCGAGGCAGGCGGATCACGATGTCAGGAGTTGAGAGCAGCCTGAACAACATGGTGAAACCCTGTCTCTACTAAAAATACAAAAATTAGCCGGGCATGATGGTGTGCATGCCTGTAATCCCAGCTACTCAGCTGAGGCAGAAGAATCACTTGAATCACTTGAACCTGGGAGGCGGAGGTTGCAGTGAGCCGAGATTGCACCATTGCACTCCAGCCTGGGTGACAGGGTGAGACTCCGTCTCAAAAAAAAAAAAAAAAGAAGGCATTTCTAAGCAGTATCCTTACTGCTCTGTGTCCAGACAAAATAATACTATATGACAATGAAAAAGCTTAACATCTGCATTTAAATTAAATGTGAAATTATTATACAAAAACTAAGATAAATCAGTAGTGTTTTCAGTAAAATATTTCAGTATCCTTTGGTGGAGTAAAGCAATTTATGGATTAATATGAAACAATCATTCTTTCACTTTTTAATAGATCAGTAACTTTTTAGTATATCAGAATTTTAATAATAAATGACACATTTATAGAGTCGTTAGGTCCCAAATGGGGGGCTAGAATGGGGGAATCTAACCTAGCAGCTCAGCCACATGTTCATCCCTCTTCTTCCAATCCCAATTATTCTTACACTAAAACATCCCTCATGTCAACACATTTACTGTGACTTCATCCTCTACCCTCTTCTTCTCAATGATTCACAGAGAAGTTTCCCTTACTCTTTTCCTCCCTTCCTCCTTTCTTGGCTACCTAACATTTGTGTAGCCCAGTGATAGGCACATAGAGTTATTTGTCTGAGGGTTGTGATTGACTAACGCTGCAGGAATTTAGATGAGGTAGAGATTACCGCGGACTGGAGTGGTTAGGGAAGACGTTTTGGAGTTAGTGGGAATTGATGTTTTCTGAGGCATGGAGGGAGGAGAAGCAGGGCATGGCCCTTTGTTTAGGCATGTGGGCGTGGACAGAGGACTCGTGGAGATAAGATTGAAAAGGTACATTGGAGATGGTTGGGAAAGGTCCTGCTTAGCTAGAGATAAAAAAGAACAATAGGTTAGAAAATAGTGTTCTCTAAAGGAATGGTTTTCAAACACTGTTTAATAAAACTCTTGGGTACAAGCACTTCAGACATTCTGAATGGAATTTTATTTTAAAATCTATTTGAATCATTACAAAAACCTGTAACATAAAGTACACACCCAAATTTGGTATTTGCCACCTTATAACACAATAAATATCACTTCTATATTCTCTCTTGTGACACCAATTTACTAATTTAGTTCAGGCCTAGGATATAACTTCTGCTGTTATTTTGTCTGTATTCTGAAAGTGATATGAACTTGCTAAGATAGTGTGGTAGTCTACTTTGCATTGCTATAAAGGAATAGCTGAGGCTGGGTAATCTATAAGGAAAAGAGGTTTATTTGACTCATGGCTCTGCAGGCCATACTAGCATGGCACCAGTATCTGCTTGGCTCCTGATGAGGCCTTAAGAAGCTTTTACTCATGGCAGAGGGCCAAAGGGGAGTAGGCATGTCACATGGTGAGACAAGGAGAAAGAGAGAGACAGGGGAGGTGCCACGCTCTTTTTAACAATCAGATCTTGTGGCAGCTAATGGAGTGAGAACTCCTTCATTACTGCAAGGAGGGCACCATGCATTCATAAGGGATCTGCCCCCATGACCCAAACACCTCCCATTTGTTCCCACCTCCAACATTGGGGTCACATTTCAACATGAGATTTGGAAGGGACAAATATACAAACTACAACAGAGAGCTAATATAAAATGTATGCCTTTTGCAGCTTCTGATCAGTGTGAATCAGCATTTTTGTTCTCAGTGAAGTGCAACAAATAAATTCAGATGCTGAATTTGATAAGACTACAGCTGTCACTTGACTCCTCCAATTTAAAGTTTTCATGCAATTTTCTTTTTGATACACTTAGACCTTTCTATTTCAGTGCTTTGGGCAGGAGCCATCCATGAAAGAGCAAAATGAAATTCTGCTGGTAAAAAAATGTTGAAAGCCATAGTCCAAGGCCACCTAGTCTCTACTGAATCTTAAAGAATGGAGTCAGGTGTATGGAATATTTCAAAGGTTTATTTGTATGGCACTTTTAGCAGTGAAATTACACATCGATAGCTGGAAAGATTGGATAGTTTGTGAGGGATTGGAGGCAAATAAAACAGAGCCACAGAAAGTATGTGAAAAACAACTAACTGCTTCACATACCATGAATGGACATAGGTCTGGACAAGAATAATGGTGATAAAAATAAGGGAGAGAGAAGTTAAATAATTATTACAAAATAATAACTGGTAATTCATGGTGCTTCCAGGAATTTTGAGAGATTGAGGAAGAAAGGATAGGAAACAAGAGATGCCCAGATTTTGAAAAGGATTTTTAGAAGAACAGGAATAGAGAAGTAGGAGGAGTCAGGTTTGAAAAGACATGGATATGTTTAATATGTTTAATTTTACTACCCAAAGTTACATGCTTAGGGAATATATCCAAGTGGACTTGCTCACTGGGCAGATGTGGACATATAAAGAAGCTTTAGAGAGAGTGAGGTCTGAAGTAGTGAGGGTAGATGAGATCTTTGAAAGTCAGTGACAAGAAGATGTTGGGCTTTGGAGGACAGTGACGATGCTGAGGAGCAGAATCACAAAAGGAGATGTAGAGAAGTCCAAGAAGAAGGAGAGCCAGGAAAGAAGTTGAGTGCCAAAGTGTGGTATAGGAACAAACCAAATCAAGGAATGAGTCAAAGTCCAGCCAACGGAGCTTCTTTTGATGTGTCTTCTTAAAAAATACAGTCTGTGGCTCTGTTCACAGGGTGAACGATAAACACCCGTGTTCCATTTTCCTCCCTCAGCCCTCTCTCCAGTTGTCAGTGGAAATTGTTACTGTTTCTGAGGTCCATTTTGTTGACTGTACTCTCCTTAGGGTAAGAAAATAATCTAGAAATGACTGAGACAAGGCTGACTGATATATTAGGACACTTTATAGGCCTCTTGATGCCATTGGTACCATGAAGCAGGCAATTCACATCTCAAACCCAGCTCTGAGGAGGAAATTCTGATAGGGTTTACATAGACCATGCTTTTCTCCATATCGCACTTTCAGTCTTTGCCTCCATTATCCTAACAACCCACACCTTGTAACTAGCAATGTTAGTAGGAAACACATGTGAGGGAAGCTTGCAAACCCAACCTCAGCATCCATTTGGAGAGTGATTTTAGGTTTTCTGTGGTGCTCATATTATATCTTGATTTGTTTCAGACATTCTGGAAAAATATTCAGGTAGACCCAAGCATTCTTATTTTTATTGTTTAAATCTTTGCCTGTGTTCATCTTCACTTCACATTACTGGACAAGATAAATAACAAAATGTCTAAACTGGACACATCCTACAATATGGACAAATGAATGAAGACTGTTAAGAGATTATAAAATCACTCTTTGAGAGATAAGGAGAAAGGTCTACATAGGTTGGGTCTGCTGTCTTTTTGACTGAATACCTAGCAGAGCTTTTCCTAATTTCTTTTGAGTATTGTCCTTTTTTAAACCCCCCAAATACCATGGCATTTGCTCCAGCTGACTGTGGCCCAACACTAGATTTCCAGAAGAGATGTCCAAGGATGGACATGGTGCCAAAAGGAATGTTTGTCATGGGCTTTAAACATAGCCCATATAGAGCCATATGGAAACATATCATTTACAGAAAGAAAACTGGAAGTTAGGGAAGGTACCTACAAAAAGCTAAAAATAGTAACACTATAATTGGACATTTATTGAGTAGTTACTATGTGCCAGGCATTCTGGTAATCTTTTTATCAAAACAGGGTCTATGGGCTAATTATTATTCCCATTTTACAGGTGGGAAAACCGAAACGTGGGACCTTTAACAGACATGTCCAAAGTCACGCAGCAGGTAATTAAGTGAAGGCAGGATTTGAATTCACTTCTGCCTGACTTCAAAATTTATAATCTTAACTTTTCTACTAAAAAACCTCTAAATGGAAGTAGAAAAGCCCACAACAGCATGTGTTGATGGAATATTCTGAGGGTCATAGAACTGAAATTGTTTGTTGTTGCACAATTTCAACCAGCCATGAAACCCTGGCTTATCTACAAAACTTACATCTGCTAAGAGTAAAACCTTCTTTCTTTTCACTATAATGAGCTCAAAAGTAATAGCTTTTCCAGTCACGACACTTGCAATTTGGCTGGAAGATGTGAATAGTCCTTTCTGGACTACAAGCCCAACAGCTGTTCACATTTATACAGTAGGTTAAAATTTATATTTAAAAAATAGTGGCTCATAAAGAAAGAATATGGAACAATGACAACTGCAAAAAAGAGATAATTGTATTCATGAAACATGAACTGGTGAGTGATACATTTTTTTAAGCAAAACGTGTTGCAGCATTAAATAACGGTGTCTTTAATTAATTCTGCCTAACATTAAAAGAATAAGGTCACTCATACCAAAAAATTGTTGAATAAAGCAAAAATGTGTGAAAGATATACTCTCTGATGTTACTCATAATGAAGAAGGGTTATCTACTGGTCAATCTACCACCATTATTTCTTAGTTAGAGGTATTACAGTTGAAAATAGACAATGGTTATAACAACCTAATGTGATTAACACATAAAATGTACTTTATTGGAGAGAAATTATCCAATCATAACTCAGTTTCTAGAGAGCAAAAGCAGTCCCTTTGACAAGGAATTTTTAGCGAGAGCTAAAGGGCCACCCACAGAGTGCCCATGCTTGTTGACTTTGCCTGTAAACAGATTAATAAGTGCTTTAGGTTTGCAAAGGCCTTCCATACACATTCTGGAGCTAACAAACACCCCATTTGGCAGACGAGAAAATTAAGATGCTCCAGGGCAGTGCAAGTAGACTAGATTTGAGTTCACATCATCAGCCTGGATCCTCTGCCAACAACTCCTCTCTTCTCTCTACCATAGTTTCTAGAAATATTTGGGGACTCTTTTCAATGAATTGTATGCAAAAGCACATTGTATAAGTTGTACATGGGGATAGGTTTGAGGGTAGGCAAGAGGTAACCTCACTTCAAGTTCTCTGTGGAGTTGATTAATAAAAGATGGTGACATTTGAATGCCCAGAGAAGGCTAAAACGTTCATGTGCCTGGGAACTGATAGTTGTAAAATAATTTTTAACATTTCTTTAGAGAGAAGCTGAGCCCTGAGCATATGTGGAAAGACAGAGGGGACTGCTGGTGGCTTCTCTAACTGCTGTAGCCTGGCTGGTCACTTGACTTTGAGACCTTGGAAGGAAGTGTAGGCCCGTCTCATGTCCCAAGGACAAGGATGCCCTGTGGAGGGTTTAATCAGCATTTCTTCCAAGGACATAAAATATTCTTCCCGAGAAGAGTTGTACTAAGTTCATTATTTCCTCTTTGTCATATCTCCACAAATGTCTCTGATACCCCAGTGATAATTCAATACATCTTATAGGATGTTACCCTGTACAATTACTCCACTAGTCCATTCTTTAGTCAAGCATGAGATGTGATAGATTTTTTTTTTCATTTGGTGGTGGTTGTTCTCAAAATAAAAACGATTAGCCAAGAAGTATTTATTCATGCTTGTTATGGGCATAAGACTCTCCTGGGGTTACAGAAAGTACTCTTGTTCTCAAGAAGTTTATAACTCAGGGAAGATATAACTAATATATATGAAACTATCAAGTGAGATTTCACTAGTGAACTACTTCACATCATGAGAGTCTAGAGAAGGAGGTAGTATTTAAGCTATATTTTAAAATGCGGCTAGAATCTTGTGAGGAAGAACTGGGGAAGGATGGAGAATAAACTATTCCAGGTAAGGAGAATAGGAACAAAATTTTGTGAATTGGAGTGAATATTGTTCATGAAAGAGACAGCAAAGAGCTGACTTGGAAGATAGGTATTGAGGGAGAGTGAAAAATAAAGAGTAACCTAATATAATCAAACGTGAAACCCAAGAAGGGGGATTTATTTGATCTGTTAGAAAAGAGAGATTAATCACAATTGACTTGAAAGGGGAATAGAAGAACTTTAAAAGGATGAGTCTGGCATGATATTCATGATGGCCATTTATGATGAGACATGGGGGTGGGAGCTGGGGAGTGGAAGGAAGTATTGTCTTGGGAATGGGAAAAAGTGGTGAGGAGCCTGTTAAAAGAATCCAGGCAAATATCTAGTGAAGCTAGTGATAGGAAAGGGGAGTGGAAAAAAGGCAAATTTAATAGGTTTGTCAAAGGCAAATAGGTAAACATGAAGAGAAAGGGAGAGAGAGATGAAAGATATTAGCCAAAAAATAGTAGAAATTAAAGTGTCAAGGCTTATGAAGTATTAAGTCTTAATTGATGTAAGAAAACAACTTTATGTCAAGTTTTAGAAAGCAAGTAACATACATTGATTAATAAAAGGTCTGGTGCAAATGCCTTCTTTAAAAAGCCGTTCTAACCTATTTACAATAATCGAGTCTTCAATGAAATGATCGATTAAAAACCCCTCTTTCTTTTGAGTTCTCATCACTCTTTTAAAATGATTCGATTATAATTACATGATCAGGAGGCATGTCTTATTCTTTCATGATGCCCAGTGATTATCACAGTACCTGGTGTATAGTAAGCATTTTATAAGGGCTTGTGAATGAAGGAAATAGCAAACTGTGATGTTCAGATCACAGATAAAGAAATTCCTCATTAACATTGATAGGACCAAAATTATATTACTGAAAGGAAATAATTTTATAGTTCAAATTCTTCTTGTTGCAGATGAGAAAACTGAGAAAATATAGTGCAACATTTTCTAACATTTTTGGTAAGTGGTATACCAGCCCCTGCTTAAACACTTTTAGTGGAGAAGAAACTTACTAAATTTTTGGACAGGTTAACCGTTATCCATTTCTTCTTGTGCTGAGTGCAAATACTACTTATTAACTACTCATCAGTATTAAAAATGTCCAATGGCAAATGGATCAATTTCTCTTTTTATTTAAACATAGTTATCATGAACTCGCAATACCCACTCTTTTCTTTTTTATCTTCATTCTTGCAACTCTTCTTCATGTTTACTGCATTTGAGATTCCAGTCATTCTGGTGTGCTCCTCTCTAGGTGAATTCTTGGTAAATGATGTCTACTTTCAAGGGTGGCAATGTTAAACACATTACTTCTGGTCTGATTTTGGTAATAATCAGCATTAAAATAAGTTTAAAATATAAACTTATTTTAATGAACAGTTTTTCTTAATGTATACTAATGCTTTGTTTACATTTTTTGTTAACTTATATTGAGTTTATAGTCAATACAACTGATTCTTTTTCTCATGGGCTGAGATTTGTACAATAGTTTTTCACTATTGGATTTCATCTAATTATATGTTGCTCATTCTGTTTAGATGCAGTGATTTCAAATCATAACCCTGTCATTCAACATCCTACTTTTTCTCTCTATATTCCAACTCTGAAACTTTGAAAACTTGATATGCATGATATATACAACCCTACATAAATAGTACTGTCATTCTACAAAATATAAACTATATATACAACTAATAGCCAATATTTATCTATATTTCTTGCAAAAATTGCATGAAATGCTTTGTCAAATGCATTGGTTTAACCAAAATAATCTTTTTTGTAGTAGATGTTCCAAAAGACACTGGTCCTAGGAAAGAGGCTGGGTAGGCCAGGTGCTGTGTAATCCCAGCAATTTGGGAGGCTGAGCAGGGCAGATAACTTGAGGTCAGGAGTTTGAGACCAGCCTGGCCGACATGGTGAAACCCCGTCTCCACTAAAAATACAAAAATTAGCCAGGCCTGGTGGCACATGCCTGTAATACCAGCTATCTGGGTGGCTGAGGCATGAGAATTGCTTGAATCTGGGAGGCAGAGGTTGCAGTGAGTCAAGATCATGCCACTGCACTGCAGCCTGGGTAAAGAGCCAGACTCTGTCTCAAAAAAAAAAAAAAAAAGCATCTGGGAAAAACTCCATATTAAATCCATCCAAGAGGCCAATACGTATTATCTTATTAAAGAATCCAAGAATACCTAACAAATAAATCAGTTTAATTTTGTTAAAGTCAGAAACTCCCAAAGTTATTTAACATGGTATACTTTGTTCTCACAATAGCTATTAATGTCTGATAGAACTAGTGTTCTGTGTAAGAGGTTTGGAAGATGCTAATATACAAACTCCTCACAATTAAAATTAAAATGAAATTTGTCTGGAATGGGTTGCTATTCATAAACTCATGTTGACTCTTAACAATCATGTTTCCTCTTTATGTGCTCACAAACTGATGTCTCCAACAAACAATAATAAGTTCTAAAATTTGGCTGAAGTTGACTTCAAGCTTATAGATTTACAGCAGAGTTTCAGCTCTGGCTTTGCATCAGAATTACCCGTGAAAAGTTTTAAGAAATCTAGATGCTTGCATTTCAGCCTTGGAGCTCATGATTCCATAGAGCGGGGTGGGGCCAGAGACACACAGGCAGAGTTGTTAACTCCTGATGTATGGTTTGGGGCACCTGCTGCCCTTCCCTTTTTGAAAGTTGAGATATCATACTTTCCTCACCATCCAGCACTGTGCCTATTTTCCACACAGTTTCTCAGAGGCCTCTAATAATGGCTGACAGAAACTTGAGCACATTTAGAACAAGGCTGTCTGTTGTTCTCGCCATTTGTCATGGCCTTCAATTCTCTCATTCCAATATTTGCTCTACTTTTCCCAATCAATTATTCTCCTTGACATAGAAGATAAAAGCAAAATAAAAATTGAGTAACTCTGCTTTCTGTTTGTCATCAGTCAATATTATTACATTGATGCTAAAAATCATATCTATGCCTTCCAAAACTAAAACAGCCTCTTTGTCTTCTATGACATACTTGAAAATTCTCAGTACATTCTGGGATTTTGCTTCTTGAATTATTATTCACTCTTCTCACATATTCCCACGTGTCCATCTTTCCTTCAATATTATATACATACACGGATGTAATGATTTTTGACGTGAAATTTTATATTGGTATCATGAAAGAAGCATTATAATAGTTTATGTTCCTAATTAACACTACCAGAAAGCGTTTCTTAAGAACTCCTTGTTTGCTCATTCATCTATCATTGTGGCGTCATGCTTCATGCCCTCTTCAGGAAGAATAGGAGAAAGAAAAACAAGAAAAAGAGAATGGATCCCAGATACATTGGCCATGTGCAGCTTAGGAAAAGGTAATTTGCTTTAAAGTCACTGTTATTGGCAACCACACAAACATAGTAGAATAGAGTATGTGGTTTTTTTTTTTTTTTTTTCATCTATCAAACACATCCCCTCATTGCCTTCAATCAAGGTCAGAAGTCGTTAACCTGTATTCCAAGAACTTTTGAGTTGTGGCCCTTGTTCCTATACCTTTCATTCATTTCCTATTTCATTCTCTCTCCACCCGTGCTCTTCACATACTTTCACTAGGTGTCTGAATAATTCTTTCTTGTCCTTCAAACAGCAACCTAGACATCATTTCCTATGTGAAGACCGCCCTTATACCAAAGCAGACGTTGCTCCCTTGTGTTCCTATGGCAGTAGATCCTTTCCTGTCCCTTTCATTCATAATCTGTTTTCTTGCCTTTTCCTCTCATTGGAACATTAAGGCTTGTGTGTCATTCATTGCTGTACTTTAATGTACCCAGCACAGCTCTTTATACTGTACCTAATAAATACATGTTGAATGAATGACAGAAGAAAACAGGGCACTTCTCCCTGCATCTTGATCCTCCTGATAAAATACAGTTTTGGTTTTATCAGCGAGTTTGAGCCAGGAAATCTGTGGAAGAAAAAGCTTTCTTTAAGCATCTGTAGCAAAAATGCAAACTGATGTTTTCAGTCCTCTAGCTGCAGATAATATGAAAGACAGGAAGTATATTTTGTGTGTGTGTGTGTGTGTGTGTGTGTGTGTGTGTGTGTGTTTTCCGGTTTTCAGCTGGAGCTGGCAGTGCAAAGACTTTCAGAAAATAATTTTTCTATTTGTAAACTGAAGGAATGTGATATGGAAGTAAATGAGGAAGAATAAATATGGAGTGACACAGTATGGTTTTATAGTCACTTTTGGGGAGATGACTGTACTGTAGAAAAGGATGGTGATACATAAGGGGCTAAAATGATTAATTATTTTCCTCACATAATAATTCAGGATCATGTGATAATGGTTCTGGATCCATTCTATACATTAAACTGTGAAATCCGTTCACTGCAGTTTTCTGAATTTTTTGTTTAGTTTATCTGAGTTTTCCTTCTGGCGTATTGAGGAACTCATGTGGTGTAGTTACCTTTCATAAGGGAACAGTGCTTGATTCTGCCACCAGAAATAAACTGGATTCAGATATAGTTTGGAATAAAAATGCACAGTACTTTTCTAATTATGCATATTTAATATTAGAACTTATATAAAAACATGAAATCTTGAGAACTGTTATTCACAAAATATGAATTTATACCCCATTTAGGTTACTACAAATCTGAGGACCTAAGTATTTTTGAGATTTATCTTAAGCTTGATCCATTTAATTTCTAATAATAAATACAAAGTAATCTCTTCATCTAGGCCACTTACCATGAAACAAGCTGCTCTATCCAGGAATGCTCACTGCCATCTACAATGTTGGGAATTATGAGCTCAGTTTCTAGGACTGGGGCCCTGTTCCCCCACCTCTGTGACCCAGATCCAGCTCAGGGACTGGAACAGAGATGAGCTCAGTAAATGCTTATTTCCTAAGTCAATGAAGTCTGTTCAGTATTTGTGCATCACAACGAATTCTTGCTGGGGTTATCGTGGTCTCTCATATCTAGGGTCCCATTTGACTTCCACCCTAACAATAAAACACAGGTTATGTTTCTAATAGCCTTTTTTACAGTACAGTACAGTACAGTCTTAGTCTCTCAGGTTGCTAGACCAAAATACCATAAACTGGTGACTTAAGCAACAAACATGGACTTCTTCATAGTTCAGGAGGTTGGGAAGTCCAAGATCAAGGCTCTGGAAGATTCAGTGTGTGGTGAGGGCCTGCTTCCTGGCTCATAGACAGCAGTCTTTTCACCGTGTCCTCACATGGTGGAGAGAAGGAGCAAGCTCTCTCAGGACTCTTATGAGGACACTAATCCCCTTCATGAAGGCTCTTTCCTCATGATCTCATTTAATCCTAACTACTTCCCAAAGACCCTACTTCTAGTATCATCATATTAGGGGGTGGGGTTTTAATATATGAACTATAGGGGGACACAAACATTCCATCCATAACAGGAGTTATGTCCCAGGATCTTCCTCATTCTCTGGCTTCTCTTGGGGGTACTATGTCTATCTCTGTGATCACTGGGTTCAACATGCTTAGAGAGATCCAATCCCTTTGGGAATTGAGAGAGCAAATTTCATAAGGTTTCCTGGATGGCTCAAAAGCTAAATCATGCTTCCAAGTACAGCCCTTCTTTGGTCACTTAGGTCCTTCTCCACACTCACCTTTCGTTCGACCTTTGTTCCTTTCTCATGCCTTTGACATGGCTTCTGCTTTCTCTGTGAAAGCAGAGGGGGTATGTTCTTCTCTTGCCCATTTTATTGGACTTAGGATATTCTTGTGGGCTTTATTCCTCTCCCATGTACCTCCGATGAAGCATCTCCATGCTTGTATTGCCCTCTCCCTTCTTAATTTCTTCTTTCTTGGGCTCCATATCTTTCCTTCTGTTTCATCAGCTCCACCTGTCACTGCATCCATCAGCTCCCTCAATGCTCTCTTCTTACAGTCATGCAATCCCCTTTAATGTCAACATCTAGTTGCTAGTACTTCCACTGTAGAATATTAAGTTGCGTTGTAGTCCTTTTAAAACACCATTGATAGTTTTACAATATAATATACACTTGCCTTTAAAAATCAATGTTCATATATTTTATCTATCTTCAAAAAATACTTTACAAATTCCCATTTATATTTGGCCATATGTAGTTGTGATGTTTTTTCTAGTCTAAGTTAGCTCCTCCTAATGCATCATTATTTTGGAAAGTGGGCAATTTATTACATTTTCTTTGGAAAAGGTCACACTAAGAGGAATCTCTTTGAAGTGGATAGTCCGGGTTTTTGTTTTTGTTTTTTAAGTTATACAGGTTGTGAAATAATATCTGCTGAGTCTCAATAAAATTTTCTGAGATTAACTAATATTCTAAATTAGTGTCTGGAGTGCTTTATATGTGGGTTGAAGAGAAGAGACCATTGAAATCTTGGTTGGTACAAGGATTTATGGATGTATAAGACACAGGGAGTTTATCACTGCCGCTAGATCTGAGGTGGATGCTTTCGGAAGCAGGATTTCTGGCCAAAAGCTACATCACATACCCTGGCAAATATGCTTCCTTATTTTGTCTTCTGATTCTTCAGTCCAAATGAATCCAAATTAATTGCGTTTTTATTGATTTTATTCATTGGCTTAGCAGGGTCATCAGAAAGGGATCATTTTTGTCTTCATTTTGAGATGTGTCCCAAGGCCACTTGTAAAATCAAAGGCACCAGATTAGTGGTGTTCAAGATATCACTGTAAAGTCTTGAGTAGTAAACAGGGATTTAGGGAAAAGCTGCAGCTGGAGGAAAGGTATGCTCGCACTGCTGCTTCCTCCTTTAGGACAGTCTCAGATTGACATTGGCCTGGTTTAGCTTCTGATTCATTTTCTCCTCCTAAAAGATGTGTGAATAAATTTGATACCTCAAACTACCTAAGATGATTCAGACTTTCTCAGGCTTCCTATATTTTCTTTCTCTTATCCTTATTGGAACAAGTAATAGAAATGATAACAAGTAAAGGTTTTAAGACATGTTACATAGAGAGTTAATGAATATTAGATAAGGCATTGAGAGTAAAAGTAGGTAAGCTAAGAGGAAAAGACCAGAGAATGCCCGTAGCACTCCAAGGAAGGTGGGGTGAAGATCAGGCTGGTGAATGACTGGAGAGTAAAGTTCAAGATGGTAGCTGGGAGACAACAGAGGCCAGAGAAAGCTCCCCTTGTTGCTTTGAAGGAATGAAATGATGAAAACAAAAGGGAGCTTGCTCCCATGCTTGTAAATTAGAGAGAGAGAGAGAGAGAGAGAGAGAGAGAGAGAGAGAGAGAGAGAGAGAGAGACACAGAGACAGAGACAGAGAGAAAGAGGGAAAGCAAGCGCATCAGGATGTCAATGCCCAGAAAAAATGTGTCAGAATTTCAGAATTACAAGTATTTACCACCATCCCCCTTTTATTAAGTACACCAAGTAGGAACTGACACTTTTTTTCCCCTTTACTTCAAGTAAAGGTAGAAGGTGGAGAACAGTAAAAGGGTCAGCAAAGGTATTCAGAATAGTGTCATCTAACTCTGTGACCATTTAGCTAGCATCTCAGTTGTTACAGAGTCTGCCTTACTATTGAGGTTGGCATCCTCAGGAGCAGATACTGAGATGAGGATTTGTGTGACTACTGGGAAATGGTCCCAGGGAGAACTATTCAGGGGACTGGGAACTGAGCAGAAAGGAAGGAGGTTAAGCGAGAGTAGCAAGCCAAGTTCTACAGAAGGAATCCCTCAGGAGCCCTGTGAAGCCAACGTTGGTCATAACTCAGAATGGTCCAGTTAGGGACAACGGGGCTGCAGTATTCATATGTCTACAGCCATGGTTCTCAACCTGGCAGGATTCACCCTCCAGGGAACATTTGATGATATGTGGAAACGTTTTTGGTTGTCACACTAGGGGAAGTGTGATACCCCAGCGGGAGAAGTCAAGGACGCTGCTGAAAATTCTACAAATCCTACAACACACTGGATAGTCTCCTCCTTCCCCAATAAATAACTATCTGTCCCCAAGTGTCAATAGTGCCGAGGTTGAGAAATCCTGGTTTACACATCTGCCATTGGTTCAGGGGTACTGTCAGAATGTACACTCAGGGTCCCCTAAAATATTTCTGGTGGTTTGAGGGCAGCAGGTACTGGCTTTTGGGAGTGAAAATCCGCCTAATATCTGTGAGCATGGAAATGGTAAAGAAACCTGAGAGTGCATGGGGGAGCATTGACAGAATCCTGCAATTCACTGACGCATTTACTTTGAAGCAACATCTGTCATTGCCAATCTCACAACCTTCTCAATCTCAACAGTTATCTGGGTTAATATCTATCGGAACTGCAAACACTTTCTTGATCTATTTTATTCTGTGCCCAGAAAACCAAAAAACAAAGCAATCTCATTTGGTTGCATACATCACTTGCACTACCTCCCTCAATGCCACAGCGAAATGTTTTTTGACATTCTCTTTCTGACTTAAATAATGAGCTGCATTTTCACTCATCTTTTGCTCTGAGACCAGGCTAATATCTCCTAAAAGTATTCTAAATTTATACTCAGTGGCTTTCTAAGGTCATTTAAATTCCTAATGAAAAGTCACTCAAGGCCACAGTACAAAATAAATACATTGTTATTGATCATGCAATAAGGTATTAGGCTAATTTAATAGGGCTTCTCCCTGAGATGTACTTAATTCACCAATATTGTCATTTCTCAGCCATCATGGATCCTGCTGGTTTTTCATGGCCTAGAAGTAGTCATCATCTCTACTCCATGTTGCCACCTGGATATTCCAGGATGCCTCATCTCTGTTAAACTTCTTCTCCCTGTCGGCAAAGTACAGTGACAGAATAAGGATTCATTACTCTTGAAATGACCCTTTCCACAACATCCTCTTTTTATCTCCTTAATCAGCAAAGTGGTACTCTGAGGACTGGCAGGTTCACTGCCTAGAGACACATTTATTACCAAGACACAAGCTGAATAATTGTGTATTTACCAACTTCAATTTAACCTCACAACTTGGCTGTCTTCACGACAAGGTGAGCAATAAGACAAAATTGCCCCTCTCCCTGTAGCTCATCAATAACTATTCCTTCTCAGCCAAAACTACTATTTTCATTGCCACCCTTGCATACACGAGTTGATGTACTTTATCATGTAGTTATATATATGTGTGTGTATGTGTGTGTGTGTGTATATAGATATATACACACACATTTCTGGTGGTTTGAAGTCAGCAGGTACTGGCTGTTGGGATACACACACACACACACACACACATATAATTTTATTTATTTTATTTTTTTGAGATGGGTCTCACTCTGTTGCCCAGGCTGGAGTGCAGTGGTGTGATCTTGGCTCACTGCAACCTCCGGTTCCTGGGTTCAAGTGATTCTCCTGCCTCAGCCTCCCGAGTAGCTGGGATTACCGGTGCCCGCCACTGCTCCTGGCTAATTTTTGTATTTTTAGTGGAGATGGGGTTTCACCATGTTGGCCAGGCTGGTCTTGAACTCCCAACCCCAGGTGATCCGCCTGCCTCGGCCTCCCAAAGTCCTGGGATTACAGGCATGAGCCACCGTGCCTGGCCATATCATGTAGTTTTTAATCTTCAAAAGAAAGAGTTTCTGTTGCCTTGCTCAAATCTTTCAGTCTTAACTGAAAATGAGACAAGGAAAGGCAGCATTTTTTTTTCTTTCCAGGAAAATGCATGTCAGTGTGCAAAGGAAGAAGGAATTCATTTCTTTTTAGAGAAGAGATGGCTAACTACATGCCTAGGTAAATATTTTGTTTGTGTTATATGAAATATACACAAAAATTATAGTAAAAATCTGATACTAAAAATCATGTATGCTCAAAACCTAGCAATTCCTAAGGAAATAATGGAAGTGTGCAAAGACACAACTGTAAGTGCATTTATTGCACTATTACTTTCAAATGAAAAAAATTTTAAATAACCAAAATGTCCATTAGTATATAATCATAGCTCATCCAGTGAAATTGAATATATCTGTTAAAAGGATAAAGTAAACTTATTGATATTGACATGGAGAAGTGTCTATGATATATTAGAAAAGAGAGTTTTTAAAAATGAGATGGATTTATGTACCTTGACACAAAATGAGATCCACTATATATCATTAAAAGAAAAGAGCAAGTTGCAAACTAATATGTACAGCATGTTCCTCTATTATAAATATATACATATATGTATCTATCTATATATATAGTGTGTATAACTATATCTGTACAAACACAGAAAATTTCTGTAAGATTTGACATGAAAACTTTTAAAAGGGGTTAATCAGACCTTAGAGTTGGAGGGCAGATTACAGGCAATTTTATTTTATTACGCTTTAGAAATACATACATATACATAATGCCTAAGCCAAGTGGTGCATAAAAACAACTGTAATTATTTTTTAACAATACTTGCCAGCAGAAAATCAGATATCAAATACATAAATTAACTGTGTAAATTGGGTTTTAATTGAAAAAATTTTAAATGTACATAAGTTGTCAAAATATGTTAGGAGGATGGATACAGGATTTAATAAATGTACTGAATTCTACAATTTCTTTTTTAAGAAATCTAGGCATCACTAGAATTTAGATGTGTTGTACTATTAAAGGAGACATTTGGTTTGCTTAGCATGATGAAATAATGATAGCTAATGCCTACTCAGTGTTTAGTATGAGCTAGGTAGGCTCTGTTCTAGGTGCTATGTCAGACCAGCTAGGTCAGAGCAACCCTATGAAGTGGGTTCTATTTTATCCCCATTTTACAGCTGAGCAAACTGACACACAGTGAGGTTAACTTGCTGAATAAATAAGGAGAGTCAGGATTTGAATCTGAGCAGCCTGGTTTAAGTGTAAGTTTAAGTTTACCTGGATGATTCACTACATGATTGCAAAATCCAGAATATTTAAAGTAAAACTCAATGTGACAGGTCATCTAGCACCTGTGATGGCACCAAGACCAGATTGGAGCATCACTGCAAACCCTCCTGCTTCAGCCACCACTAGACAAGCAGAGCGAAAGCTTCAATTAGAAATTCAAAATGTCAAAAGACAATGTTTATATACGGTAAACACTATCACCTACTAATGCTTCAGACTTGGTTTTAGGAAAATCTGTCATTTTTTTTTTTTAATTTGACCAGAGTCTTTAGCAGCACAGAAGGTAATTAAGATTTAGAAAGATTGGAATAGAGCCTTCCAGTAAGTAGGAGGAGTTGAACCAGGAGAACTCTGGATATATCACCCTTAATCAGTATTCTTCTATGTTACCAGCAACCCTAGACTGATGGAGACTTTTTTTTTTTGTATGAATTCAGTTTAACATCAAAGTTCTAAAAGATGCATAGAATTCTGTGGCCAGCCCTTCAGGCTTAAATGCTCTGATCAGAGACAAAGGAGGCGCCTTTCCTCTCATGGAGTCAGGAGAGGCACCACCATCTTTTTCTTTTTGGGAAGGGCAGCACAAACATACCTCTGAAAAGGCTTTTATACTTCCCTGCTGTGAAGAGAATTTTTGTAAGTCTAAAGCTTGTGGGGGCAGACTACACAAAACACAATTTTTCTCCACACTTCTGTTCTAAGCTGCCAGGAAGACTTAATAAAAACCTGTAGGTGGTAATATGAACTGAATTGAAAAAGGAGCTGAAAGACAGTTTATCTCTGATTAACCATGTGATGGTCCTCAACATTCAGGAATATCACACTAGGGTTTATTTTGCACTTCAACCAACATGGGTATCTCTGAATTTCATCTTTTGATGAATATAATTGATAAAATTTAGTGAAAGCAAAGAATGAGAAAGCCAACAAGGCTTCTTGTTGTTTAAGCCATCCCATTCTGTAGCATTTGGTGCCTCCATATATACAGGTGCCTCCTGTAATTTGGTGCAAATTACAGAATAATTTGGTGCCTCCTATGGATTGACTGTGCCCCTCATTCTCTGAACTATATATGTTGAAGTTCTAATGCCTGATGTGATAGTGTTTGAAGATGGGGCCTTTGGAAGGTACGTAGGTGTAGATGAAGTCATGGGTGTGGGGCCCACATGATGAGATTAGTGCCTTTACAAGAAGAGACGCCAGAGATATTGCTCTTTTCTCTGTTTCCGTCTGCACACACTGAGGGAAGGCCATATAAGGACACAGAGGGTGGCTGTCTGCGACCCAAGGATCTGTGAGCATAACCCATAACCTGAGCCTGCTAGCCCCTTGATCTTGGACTTCCAGACTCCAGAACTGTGAGAAATAAATTCTTGTTGTTTAAGCCACACAATCAGTGACTTTGTTTGTTTGTTTGTTTGTTTTTTTGAGACAGGGTCTCAATCTGTCACCCAGGCTGGAGTGCAGTGGAACGATTATGGCTTATTGAAGTCTTGACCTCCCAGGGCAGGCTTAAGTAATCCTCCTGCCTCAGTCTTCCAAGTTGCTGGGACTACAGGCATGTGCCACCTCGCCCGGCTAATTATTTTTTTGGTAGAGTCAGGGCCTCATTATATTGGTCAAGCTGGTCTTGAACTCCTGGATTCAAGTGCTTCTCCCACCTTGGCCTCCCAAAGTGCTGGGATTACAGGCAGGAACCACAGTGCCTGGCCCATGACAATTTTTTATGGCAGTTTGAGCTAAGATGGTGTCTTGATCATTTAGCCATATTTCTGTCTACTGAATACAGTTTTAACCAATATCTTCTTGTTTATGCTAAAAAGGTTTTATTTTGTGTTCCAATAGACCAATTGGAGAACCTGCCCTGTATTGGTAGTATCAATAGGACTATATATTTGTGACCCAGTATGGAAGGGTTTTAGATAGACAGTCATTATGACAATTGTTTATGACCTTGGCTCTCATTGCATATATAACCTCCACTCATAAAGTGTACTTATCCTTCACCTGCACATTACTTTAAATATCTCAACTTATATTTTTTTCTTCTTTTAATTTTATTTTGATTTGATTTTAGATTCAGGAGGTACATGTGCAGGTTTGTTACATGGATATAGTTTGTGGTGCTAAGGTTTGGGCTTCTATTGAACCCATCACCCAAATAGTGAACATAGCACACAATAGATATTTTTTCAACCTCTGCCCCATCCCTTTTTTCCCCATTTTTGGAGTCTGTAGTGTCTACTGTTCCCATCTCTGTTTGTGTGTACCCAATGTTTAGCTCCTACGTATAAGTGAGAATATGTGGTATTTGTTTTTCTGTTTTTGTGTTAATTTGCTTAGGATAATGGCCTTCAGCTGCATCTATGTGGCTGCAAAGGACATAATTTTATTCTTTTTTTATGGCTTTATAGTATTCCATCATATATATGTATCACAATTTCTTTAACCCATTGTCAATGGGCATCGAGGTTGATTCTATGTCTTTGCTATGCACATTCACAATTACATCTTAATTTTCAATCTTAAGTTTGTCTATAATTTGACATATGTGACTCACAGTTGTCTAGAAAACAGGGACTTGTTTTTGATAAAAACTTAGCAACACTGAAAAGCTGTTCTCAGAAGAAATTCATAGACTTAATTAATTTTATTAATAGAGAATGAAAAACAAAGTAACTTTGTACTTGCAACATAAAGTAAAAACCAAAGTAAGTGGGGAGAAGATAAAAGATGAACCAAAAAACAAAACAAATGCACAAAAACCAAGAAAAAAGAAACAAATTCAAAAACCTGATTGTTCTGAAAAGGCCAATGAAACTGATAAACATTTTTCAGAATGTTTAGGGATAAAAGAGGGTAAGTGGGCATTTACAATGTCATGAACAACAGAGGTGGCATGAATAGATATACAGAAGCATTTGAAAATGTTATAAGAGAGTACTACACTCAATTCTATGACAATAGGTCCAAAAAGTGTAGATACTTCCTAACAAAATGCAAATCACAAAAACTGATTCAACAAGAAGTGGAACACTCTAATTGTCTGATCAATGTAGAAGGGTAAAGATCTATCATTGAAAAAAGTGCCAGAACAAGATGGGTTCTGGCTGAGTTATATCTGACTCTAATGAATAGATAAGACCTGTGTTATTTAACTTACTCGAAGCTATAGAAAATATTGATAAGCCCAATGAAATGTATTCTTTATAAAGCCATTTTTTAAAATACCAAAATCTGATATAAAGAATATGAAAGATGATTGTAGACTAATCTTCTGTAAAAATCTAGAAGATAAACTTCTAAATAAAATGTAAATAAGAATTTTGTGTTAATTTCTAGAGTGCAAGAATGGTTCAGTATGAGAAAAATCCAATATATATTACATTAATCCATAAAATAAGAGAAAATCTTATAGTGACAAAAATTTGATGCAATTAAGTACTGATTCTTAATAAAGACACTGATTAAAATAAGAATACTAGGAAACTACCTAAATATAACAAAGACTATTTACTTTTAAAAAGAAACTGTTATTCTAAACACTAAAACCACTTCAATTAAAATTAGCAGCTATACAGAGAAATTGGCTATTACTCTTACACAATATAATCCTGGAGGGTAAAGGTAATGTGGTAAGAGAAAAATAATGAAATAGTTTATGTAAACAATAAAAATAGATTGAATTAATCTTTTTGTTAATATAATTGTAACCCAGAAAATCTAAGAAACTCTAGGAAAATTGCCTTCTTGAATTAATAAGATAGTTTCATAAGTTGATTTGATATAAAATAGAATTACAAAAATCAATAGCTTTTCTCTATGCCAAAAATTAAAACCAAAAAGGAGAAATGAGAAAAATATTTTCTTCACAATAGTAACACAAACAAGAAAATATTGGGGGAATAAATTTAGCAAGTAGGGCCAGGATCTACATTAAATGGACCATAAAGAAATCATAGGAACAGTAAGATGGCAGAATAGCAGCTTTCTATTATCATCCCTCCCAACCCGTTACAGAAGCATTGATTTTGAGAACTACTCATAGACAACAGTACCTTGATGGGACTCCAGGAACCTAGTGGATGAGTTCCAGCACTTTGTTAGAGCAAAAAATTTAAGAATAGGCACATCAAAGAGGGTAAGAAAATTTCATTTTACCCATGTTGGTCCTCCCCCAGGCAGCACTGCTCAGTGCCAAGAGATAACCCCTCGAACCATGTTTTCTCCCATGGGGGAAAGTGAGAGTGTAGTAAGTGAGTGCCTGGTTCCCTCAGTTGTGTGGAATCTGGCACAGGAGGCCTATTTCTTTCCATCACACCTAGAATTCTGAGGTAGTTGGCACAGCTGAGTGGTTGAGAGAGGCCAGGAATAGAAAAGAGAGGTTACAGACTCTACTAACTGCTTTGTGGACTCCATTAGGAAGCCTGCCCATGAGCTGCTTGGGATACCTGGCCTGAAGACCCCTCCCAACTGGTCTGTGAGCATCACAAACACTCTGCACACCTCACCATTGCCCTTCTCAAAGTGGACTCCACGAGAGCAACCTGTGGACAGCAAGTACAAGCATCTTGCACAGAAAACTGGCTTGACACTGCAGGAGAAGGCACACAAACTTGAGGATTTAAGGCATCACCTTAGGTAAAATAAACAGGAGATGGTCAGCACCTGGCCTGGCTTTGCAAGATTGAGAAGCACACAATCTTAAGAATTCTCCTCACCTTCAAGATGGAAAAAGAGGTGTTGAATGAGTGCATCCATTGAAAGGGTTTGAGGGCCTCAGAATCTCTACCTGGGATAACTAGTGAAGGCATTTCTCTCCCAAAGCCAGTCAGTAAGGACTGTAGAAGGACTGCTTCTTCAAATGTGAAAGCAGCAACACAAAGCATTAAGACCCATAAAAAATAAGAAAACATGACACCACCAAAGGAACATAATGATTTCCCTAAAGAAACAGAGACCTATAAATTACCTAACAAAGAATTTATATTGTTCACCAACACACATTAAAATCAAACTGTCAAAAGTTAAGGACCAGGGGAGAATTTTGAAAGCAGCAAGAGAAAAAAGCTCATCCCATACAAGGAAACCCCTTGATAAGCCTTCATGAAGCTACCAGTGGATTTCTCACTAGAAGCAATCTACAAATTTCAGTGTAATCTCTATCAAAATTTAAATGGTAATTTTCATAGAAGTAGAAAAAATAGTCCTAAAATTATTTCAGAACCACAAAAGACCCAAACTAGCTAAAGCAATCTTGAATAGAAGAACAAAACTGAAGATATCACATTTTCTCATATCAAGTTATATTATAAACCTATAGTAATCAAAATAATATGGTACTGGAATAAATATAGTTGTATAGAATAGAACAGAATAGAAAACTCAGAAAGAAACCAGTGCATTTATGGTCAACTAATCTTTGACAAAGGTGCCAAGAATGCACAATGGGGAAAGGATAGTCTCTTAAATGAATGGTGTTGGGAAAATTAGACATCTACACGTAGAAGAATAAAACTGGATCCTTATCTAACACCATCACAAAAATCAACTCAAAATGAATTAAATGGGCTGGGCATGGTGATTCACGCCTGTAATCCCAGCACTTTGGGAGGCCAATGCTGGTGGATTACCTGAGGTCAGGAGTTGGAGACCAGCCTGGCCAACATGGTGAAACCCCATCTCTACTAAGAATACAAAAAAGTAGCCAGGTGTGGTGGCAGATGCCTGCAATCCCAGCTACACGGGAGGCTGAAGCAGGAGAATCACTTCAACCTGCGAGGCAGAGGTTGCAATGAGCCGAGATCATGCCACTGCACTCCAGCCTGGTTAACAAGAGCAAAGCTCGGTCAAAAAAAAAAAAAAAAGAATTAAATGTAAGGCATAAAACTATAAAATTTAAACATAGGGGAAAAAGTCCTTGAATTAGTTGTGGCGATGATTTTTTTTGGATATGACACCCAAAGCACAGACAACGAAAACAAAAATAAACAAATGGGACTACATCAAATTAAAAAGTTTCTGCACAGCAAAGGAAACAATTAGCAATATGAAAGGCAACCTATGGAATGAGGTGAAATATTTGCAAACTACACATTTGATAAGGGGATAATATTCAAAATATATAAGGTATGCAAACAACTCAATAGCAGAAAAAATAATTTAAAAAATGATCAAAGGACCTGAATGGATGTTTCTCAAAATAAAATACAAATGGCCAACAGGTATATGAAAAAATACTTAACATCACCAATCATCAGGGAATGCAAATTGAAACCACAATGAGATGTTACTATACACCTGTTAGGATGGCTATTATTAAAAAGACAAGAGATAAGTGTTGGTGAAGGTATGGAGAAAAAGAAACCCTTATACATTGTTGATGGGAATATAAATTGTTATAGCCATTATGAAAAACAGAATAGAGATTGCCTAAAAAATTAAAAATAGAACTACCATATGACCCAGCAGTCCCATTCTGGGTATATATCCACAGAAAATGAAACCATCTGCACTCCCAAGTTCATGCAGCATTATCCACAATAGCCAAGATATTGACAGATTAATGGATAAAGAAAATGTTTTACATATATATAATTCAGCCTTTAAAAAGAAGGAAATACTATCATTTGTCATATGGATGAACTGGGAATATGTTATACTAAGTGAAATAAGAAGCCAGGCACAGAAAGACAAATAACATGATCTCACTTACATGTGGAATCTAAAAAAGTCAAACCCATAGAAGCAGAGAGTAGAATGATGGTTGCTAGCAGGTAAGGGGGAGTAAATGGGAAGATGTTGGTCAAAGGATACAGACTTTCAGTTATAAGCTGAATAGATTCTGAAGAACTAATGTAGAGCATAGTAACCTTAGTTAAGAATGGGATCTAGAACTGGAAATACCATTTGACCCAGCCATCCCATTGCTGGGTATATACCCAAAGGACTATAAATCATGCTGCTATAAAGACGCATGCACACGTATGTTTATTGCGGCATTATTCACAATAGCAAAGACTTGGAACCAACCCAAATGTCCAACAATGATAGACTGGATTAAGAAAATGTGGCACATATACACCATGGAATACTATGCAGCCATAAAAAATGATGAGTTCATGTCCTTTGTAGGGACATGGATGAAATTGGAAAACATCATTCTCAGTAAACTATCGCAAGAACAAAAAACCAAACACTGCATATTCTCACTCATAGGTGGGAATTGAACAATGAGATCACATGGACACAGGAAGGGGAATATCACACTCTGGGGACTGTTGTGGGGTGGGGGCAGTGGGGAGGGATAGCATTGGGAGATATACCTAATGCTAGATGACGAGTTAGTGGGTGCAGTGCACCAGCATGGCACATGTATACATATGTAACTAACCTGCACAATGTGCACATGTACCCTAAAACTTACAGTATAAAAAAAAAAAGAATAACGTATTGTATACTTGAAATTTGCTGAGAGAATAGATCTTAAGTATTTTCACCACACACACACGTGTGTGCGCACACACACACGTAGCTATGTGAGGTGATGGATATGTTAATTAGGTTGATTGTGGAATCATTGCACAATGTGTATGTTTATCAAAACATCACATTTTAATGCCTTAAATATATACAATTTCTGTTTGTCACTTAAACATCAATAAAGCTGGAAAAAAGTATCAATTTCATCATAGACAAAATGATCAATGGAATAAAATAATGTAGACATAAACTACAAACATTTAATATTAAAAATAAATAAAATATATTCTTCTGGAATAAAATTGAGTTGAATCCTATCTTATGCCATATAAAATTCCTGATGGATTAGAGACATAATTATAAAACAAAATAATTAAAGTCCTTCAAAAAATCTAGGGGATGACAAAGTTTTCTCTGATAATGACTATTGGATTAATGACTTGGTCACAATGGCTCTTGAAATGTTATACCACTTTTTGGATAAGGATTCCTTTTTGTGTGTGTGTAAAGCTTTATCACCCAAACCATACCAAATAAATGGACTAAAATAAGTGATTTTTCAACATTATGGCTTCATGCAAAGACACACCATTTACTCAACACAATAGTTTTCAGTCATAGAGTATCATATAATAAATTGGGATTGGGATGTTTGGGTGAACCCAAAATATTTGCTTTATACACATCCGTCAAGTAGAAGGAATGAAGGGGTAGTGTTTTTTTTCTTAACATTTTTTCAATCTGCTGTGCACATGTACTATTTCCAAATTTTGAAATAGTACAAATAGTATTCCACTTTTGTTTTTATCTAAGGTTGATTTTCTGTGCAGTTTGAATGTAAGATAACCCTAAATCTCCCAAAAGGTTTAAACATTGGTGAATAAAATGGGAAAGAAGGAGGAAAAAGCACTCCAATACACATATACATTATATGCATTAGCTGTTTTTACATTCAAGTTGTTGTTTATTACTTACATATACTTGTTTTTATTGTTTAATTAGTGTATTTTTCTATCTGTGAAAATTATTTAGGTATCTTTTGAGTTGTGATGAAACACATCATAATTTTTCCTCTTAAAATTAGTGTAAATGTATTTTTATAGTATAAAAATACACAACTTCAAATCTATACTCTTAAAATTGAAAGTGTATAGCACAGTAGTGCTAACTATATGCATATTTTTGTATACTAGATCTCTCTAGAACTTTCTCATCTTGCATAACTGAAACTTTATCCCCATTTTCCTCTCCTCCCAGCCCCTGGAAACCACCATTTACTTACTGCCTCTATGAGTTGAGATATTTTTAATTTAATGATTTTTAATCTAATGATTGGATTTTAAAAAACAAATTGAGGTATTATCTCAATTTGAGAAAATGAGAAAAAGTCTTATGAATACAACACAGGTATAAACATGTTCTTAATATTAACTGTAAACTCAGAAACTAGGCAATAAAATATGGGCATATTTGCCATTAAAAAATTTATGTTTAGAAAATGTACCATGCCCAAAGACAAAGGATTGATTGTTTAACAGCATTTCCAACACCGATGACAGAATTATCTTATATAATAAATAAAACACTCTACAAGTTTACTGGTTAAAGAAAAAGCCACACAGCAGCAACAACAAACAGGCAGAAGACAAGAATATCCTATTTGTAGGAGAGAAAATACAAATGTTAACAAACATTCCCAAATATGCTGAAACTCTAGCAGCAGAGAGGAAGATGCAAATCGGAGTAAGAATGAACTATCACATTGTACCTATCAAGTTGACAAAAGCTTAAGAAGTGAAAACTAGTGCTGGTGACTATTTGGGGAAATAGTTTTTTTCACATATCACTGGTGAAACTGTGAATCACTATGGCCTTTAGGGAAAATAATTATTAAAAAGAAAATGCATATTTCCTTTCACATAGCTATCTTGGGATCTATTCCATGTAAATAAAAGCACCAGTATGAAAGGATATATGCCCAAGGTTTATGTTAGCTCTCGTTTATTTAGCAATAAATTAAAAACAAAGAGAATGACAATCAATAGGAAAATGAATTTTCATACCCATATCATAAATATTATTGAACCTGTGTTGAATTTAGAGCTATATCAGTTGACCTGAAGAAATGTCCATGCAGCATTGTGGAATGAAAAAAAAACGGTGCAAAAGAATGTGTATGATATAATCCCATTTTGTTGGTAAAGCCATAAAACTTGCATACTTATTTACCAATGGGTATGTATGTATGTGTATAAATGTGTATGTATATATGTGCATTTATATGCCTTTGTATGTAATTAAGTGTATATACAGAAAAATACAAAAGGACACACACTAGATCATAAAAATAAGTTAATTAAAATTAGGGCTAAATGAGATAAGATTCAGAACAGAGAAAGAAAAAGAGAAAGGGGAGGAAGAGGAAGCAAATAGCAAAAAGAGAAAAGACAATTTAAAAAAGTGTCTATGATGTTATCAGCCATGATGCTTCCAGATGTAATTAATAGATAATGCTTAGTCACCTGACATAACGAGCCTATGTATTATTTCATTTAACAAAAAGCACTGAAGTAAGACAGTTTCAGTTTGATGAATTCCAGGGATAAATTATGTTTCAAGGGAAGAGATATCTTCTATCTTTCTACTCTCTCATACCCAGGATGTTGACTTCATACTTAGCTACCACTTCTCAAGGTCACAAGATAATGATTAAGACCCCAGGTATCACAGTGGTTATGAACACATCCATGTTTTATCATTATTTTTAGAAATGAGGAAACTTGTCCCAGAAGTCTGCCTCGACTTTAATGACCAATAAGGGCTGGGGAATTTCCAGTACTGATTTTACTGTCCAGGTTTACCCTTAGGCTGCAGATGGATTCTCTATCTCTGAAGCACAGGCACCTGAATAAAACTAGGTTTCTATCAGCAAGGAAGCAGACAGAAATGTCTATTAGCAAGGCATATCTAGCCTGCCACATATGACCTAATCCAATATGCATTGACAAAAATACATATGCTTGTATATTGTATGAAGACATTCGTATAAGTAAATTTCAGAAAGAAAGCATAAGTTCTCACTGAGAAAAATCATAGCGGCTCTTCAACCTATAATTTTAGAAGTGCAGTAGAAGGATTTCTTTTTATAGCTTTTAAACTTCAATCCAAATGGAGGACATTTGCTAGAGAGCATGTAGCTTCACCACTATGAGAAATAATACTACATTTTTTGTGTGTCACTTAGCTGTTTAAGAGGTTAACCTTTTGCTCCACCTCCAAACAAATGAGTCATTAATCTTCAAAAAATACAAATGGTTTTCTCTTTGTTTTCCCCTTTTAAATTTTATTAAGAAAAACGTGGAAGAGTCTTATCCATCCTTGTGCAATGTGTAGGATTTCACTTGGTGAACTTATTGTGTTGACTTTTAAGATGAAAGCTCTTAAGGATTTTTAAGCCATCAAGCATTATCCATCAGAATAAATAAATGAGAGATTGCTTTATTCTTTTCAGGCAGGATACATTCTGTGACCTATCTTTTCCGTGACCTACAAGGCTTTAGGGGAAGAGCTTCCAGAATTTTATTGGCAATGCCACTATTAGACGGACTTCCCTCTCTCTTTTAAGCTCTTTGGGGGTCAGCTTTAAAGTGAGCATTAAGTGAATGGCTAATGGAATTAAGGGTATAATAATAGAAGGATATAGTGAGACAATTGTATTAACAAGAAATAAATCATGTTGAATGTAAGGTAAGTGTTTTTTAATTGATTGATGGGAAGGATGCTCCACAGGTTTTGTCAGGGACTAACAGCCATTTACCTTCTCATCTACAGTAAAAAGCCAAAATGTAGAAAAAAAGATAAGAAAATTATGCAGCAGGAAGATAAATTATTCAGAGAAGATGGCCATTTTGTGCTGACATCACTAATGTGAAAAGGCATTAAATCTTTGACACTAGCTTCATTCCTTAGGAGCTATGGGGTTGAAATAACATTTTGTACTATAGATAAAAACTGAAATGTCTACTCTCAAGCTTTCTTCTGTGCCAGAAATGGCTTCCAAGATGCCCAGATACTTGAAGACATAGTGGGTACTATGCTTTCCAAGTTGAAGCAAGTCTTGCACTTTGAAAGCTAGTGGCTGTCTATATAATTATAACAATCTAACTGTCAGTATTTTTCATCCAGTTGGCAAAACTTATGTGCACTGATGTCAAGGATATAGAGAGATACATAGAAGACATTTTAAAGTACTATTGGACGTAGAAAAACTTAATGCTGAATTTCATAATTAAATGCTTTTTTATTGTACTTTCACAGTTACCAAGTCCCCTCCTTGAGTTTGTCTCCTCTTATAACCTATTATAAGTCTTATTCTTTTCAGTTATTCTTACTACTCAGCTATTAGTACAGCCAATTTCAGGTGACTAATACTCTAGAGATTTCTTATTGTAAGGATTCAGACATAAAGGAGAGTGAGTAGATCCAATATATGTGTCAGAGAGAGGCCAAGATTCTTGCTACAACTGCTGTAACAGTTATTTCAGATATTCCCACCACCTCCACAGCCTCCCACACTACAATTTTTCTGCTGCCCCTGGTTATTTTATTAACTAGGCTTATAAACTATCATCTAGGAAATTTTTACCATAACATTACAAAGAACATGAACATATCAACAAAGAATTCCAACTTTTATCAAAATCTCTAAACTTCCCATTTCTGCTTTTTTCTCGAGTAGATTTATCTGTTTGTAAATTATTCAGTCTTTTTTCTTTTATTATTTTTTCTTACCTGCTATGAGCCAGATACCATGGTAAACATTTTATATACATTACTTAACTTTCATTCTTCATAACAGTTCTTTGCAGTAAATATTATTACCCTTGTTTCACAGATAAGAAAACCAAAATTTAGAGGGATTATGTACTTTATCCAAGTTCAAACTGCTAATTAGAGGTAGAGGTAAGATTAGAACCCATGGGTAAGTATATTACAAAGTCAGCACTCTTCATCACATCAGACTATTCTGATGCTACTTTGAAGTACCATAAACTGTTGTAGTTGAGTGGAAGATCTGACAAAGAACTTCTGAGACTCTTCTAAATATAAATTTCACAGGTTGGGTTCTCAGGAAGCAGATGATGAGATGGAGCTTGTGGTGCAAGATATTTACTCGGGTAAAAGGAAAAGAGAGGAAGAAAGAAGGAGCAAAGGAAACCATGCCTTGGCCAACTTGGTGAGGAACTGTGGTTCAAGCATCCCATCTGAATGAGTGTCCTGCAATGGGCTGAAATGGGTGAATCTTTGTACCCCTACCTTGGTCAGTCGGGCTGCCCTGGGAAGGATGTGACTTCCCTGCAAAGATGCTTGAAAGCTCCAGGAAGAAACTGAGCAAGAGGCAGCAAGTTCTTTCTTGAAAGGGGCATCTGAGCAGCGTATCTCTGTATCTATCATCCAAATAACTTCATGGTTTCTGTAATGGACAGTACAAAATGGACTATTAAACAGTTTCTTTTGGTGCCATTTTTTTATTATAATATCCAATAGAATGAGGAAAATGTAAGAGTGAACTTGGATAAAAAACTCAACCCTGGATTCCTTGCAATAAGGAAATTGTACTGTAAATATAGCCATACCTCATTTTCTTCTAAAAGAATCGGGCAATTTTACTCTGATTTTGTGTCCAAAGACTAACGACTGTTCCAATATCCCTCTTGATGTTTATTTCTTTCCATTGCAAAAATCAAGCATACCAAATTTACCTTTCCATATGTTTTTTTTAACTTATATTTTTAAATCATCCACATTTTTTGAATACTCAATCTTCTGCTTGGCTGAAGCAGTTCTTTATATCTTATGTATTTGTGGATTTCAATACTTATCCATAGTTTTACTTAATGACATATTTCTATTATAAATTTTAACCAATAAAAATATTAATTTTAAAACATCTAGTGTGCTCTTACTAAACAATTTTTATGTTATAGTGGTCTATGCATAAGATAAACCACTATCTATGTCTCTAGATACATTTCATTGTGAATTTGTCTTCAATGTACTTTATTACAAGGTTCCCTAAGCCAATATTATGACCAGGTGCTACGGTCTGCACGTTTGTGTCCCCCTAAAATTAATATGTGAAAGTTCTTACCTCCAAGGTGATGGTATGAGGAGGTGAGGCCTTTTGTGGTTGATTAAGTCAGGAAGGCAGAGCCTTCATAAATGGGATTAGTGGCCTTATATACCAAAGAGAGCTGTTCCACTCCTCCTACCATGCGAGGGGACAGCAAGAAGACACTGTCTATGAACAACATTGTGGGCCCTCACTAGACACTGAATCTTCAGGTACCCTAATCTTGGACTTCCCAGCCTCCAGAACTGTGAGAGGTAAATTTCTGTTGTTTGTAAGTCACCCATTGATTATACCATTTTATGCTATTTTATTATAGCAGCCCAATGGACTAAGATACCAGGTATGGTCATCGCAGTTTATCCTATTGTTATCATTTGTGAAATGAGGCAGGACTCACACTTCTAGTTCTTCAGTGTCCGTCCCTTGCTCCAGCTGAACCAGTATTTTTAATTACCTTCTGAAAGCCTGATTGGTTACTGCAGCCCATCTTCCTATTTACTAATACTGACTTTGTGATCAGTGTTCTCCTTGTCTAAAGCATCCACTGAGTTTGTGTAAAGTTTGTTATTTCCCTAACAAAGTTCTTTCAGCACAATAATCACAGTGGCTGTCTCAACAGGCATTAACCTAACTTCTTTCTTAAGAGTATGTGCAGTCTCTCTCTGGAATATACATTTGCTGGGAAGATTGGCAACTTCCCCTCTCCTCCTGGCTCATAATGGCTAAGTTCTGAATTGTATGAATGGAATCATTCCCAATCCATCCCCAGGGTAACAAACAACTTTTAATACTAATGTAGCACTAGATATATGACTCTGGAAGGACCTAGGTAGACAAGAAACGATTACAACTATTCTACATAATAATGGGAGAGAACCGATTTCAAAGGTAGATGGACTTTTTTGCTGGTGGAGAAAAGGTTCACTTCTCTGTTTTGATTCTCAACATTCATATTATTCACACCAGTCTCTGCCCACTAGATGCCGGGAGCACTGCATCCTCTAGTTTTAGCAATGAAAAATGTCTCTAGATATTGTCATATGTCCCCTGAGAAGCAAGATTGCCCCAGGTTGAGAACAATTGAAACAGACTATACTTCTCAGGGAATGCATTGGGGGAGAGGGCATAAGGAGGAGTTGTAGAGTAATTGGTAAGAGGAATATCTTGTGGAGGGAAAGGAAGAGCCACCCTGGAATTGGGGATATTGTCCAAAGATTTCCCTTCCCTCATGAAGGTCTAAGTCTTAAGGTACCATTCCTTTGGAAATTCAAGAGAAAGTTTAAGTGTACTAGAACGTTAATCTTTCCCTTCATACACTGTAGTTTTTTTTTGAAATTCCCTTAATATTTTAATAAAAGTATTTGCATTTCTCTGAATAGCTAGCTTGAAGTCTTGAAGAGAAAGTCCAGTTTAAATATGAGAAAGGACTCCTGGGTTCCACTAGGGTGGGAGGTACAACCCTAGACCAGTTGACTGTGATCAGGGGAGGCTGTTCTTTCTATCATGTGAGTTTCTATTGGAGCCATGTGGGTGAGAAGAGGAGAAATAGTTCCTAGAATAATTATAACATCACCTTAAGATTTTGAGGGCTTACTATATCCAGGCGCCGTAATTCTCAACTGTCTCATGAGGGAGGTACTGTTTTTAACTGCCAAATTTACAGAGTGACAACCAAGTCTCAGAGATATTAGATAATTTATCCTGTTGCTTAAGAGGGATATGATGGAATTGAGATTTGAGGTCAGGCAACGGCCATTACAGCACAGAATTTGTCTCCACTACACTAAACTCCTTTCCAGAAGACAGATGGGGGTAGTGGTAGGCAGAACATCTCATATGTGTCCATTACACTCACAAACACCTGGTCCTGTATTAGCAAAAGAAGTTCAGTATTATTTAAAATGCAATGATAAATTGCCCAGAGATCTGTGTAATCATTGAACACTTGTCCTAAACTATTAATGAACTTCGTATGCAGGTATTAAGTGTATCTTTGACTTAAGAAGCCAAAGACAAATATAGTTGTGTGGTTAGATATACATGTCTTACATAAACTAGCATCTCTTAAAATTTTAATGGAAACTTTAATATGCTAATAACAAAAAGGAAAGAAAAAATCAGGAGAGAGAGGGTGAAGACAGAGAATGCTTTTGGCCCTTTTATTGGTCTTCAATGGGTTTTTCTTTTTTGCATCATCTTCTTTAGATATTGTTAAAAAATCCTATAGTTTACATTCCAAAATATGATCTTATTCAACTGGTTTTCAACCATGGGATTTTAAGATTCTTTACCAATCAGTATCCCCACTTCTAATACTTTCTTTATCTTCTGCCACATAAAGCTTCTTGATATATTAAACTGACTTTTATCTTCTGTGCGTTTCTAGCTGTAGACCCACTACACAGGCTGTGGTCTAACCCAGATCCCATTTCTCTACTCTCCTACTCTTCGCATTCTATCACTGATCATCTGCCTTCAAAATTTGACCTTAGACCCAAATCCATAAATCTTTGTTTACTAGTGTCCTGATGAGAGGTTAAGTCATTTCCTGAGAGTTGAGATGGTGGTGGGGATCAAATTGGAGCAGTGGGAATGGGATTGCAGCCTGGGAAAATGTGAAAATGTTGTCAAACAGTGGAAGTGAAAAATGCACTAGAGGAAATAAGAAAAGGAGAGCGATTGAGGAGCACAGGGGCCAAGGACCAAGTAAAAGAGAAAAAAATGCAGTGGGCGCAGTCATGGTTTCAGATTTTCTCCATTATAATAAAAATAAGATATAATAAAAATATAATAAGAAGGAGTCAAGGGACAAAGGATTTTAAAGTGCTATAGGCAATTTGGAAATAGCTGATCGTGGCTATAGAGCTTAGTAAGGAAGCAAATGAAGCCCTGAATGGGATGATGGAGAAATAGGATGTTGTATGGCCATATAAGAGATGGAAAATCAGGATATTGAAGTCAGAAGGAGGGCATTTCAAGTATGAGATGTAGGAAGTGGAACAAAATCATCTCCATATTACACCCCTGCCTGAATGGTGGGGAACCTTGTCTTTTAAAATAGGAGAAGGACTAGCTAAAAGTTATGATTTAGGCTGTTATATCACTTCCTAGTATTCAGTGTTGTTCTTGTCTTTTTTCCTCACAGGGTTTGATGAAAAGAATTATCCCTAATTGTTGAAGCATTTGAGGTTCTATTACCAGGCTCACCATTCATTTCCGTCTCACACACTGAAAAAAATATACAGTGTAATAATTGTGTATTTTGAAGCTGAAATTCCAAGTTTAAATTTGTTTTTATACTAGAAGTGTTATCCTTGGCAATTTACATAAAAATTTTGAGCCTCAGTTTCTTCCTCTGTAAAAAAGATATAGCATTAGCTTTTTTCACAGAAAAATTTTGAAGATAAAATAACGTTTGTGAAAAGCATTTAGTATATTGTGAAGGATTATAATTGGCTTTGTTTTAATGCCCTAAACTATCTTTAAAATTGGCTTGGTAGATTTAACGGTGAAGGTCATTGCAAAGTTGTTTTATTCATCTCTGCATGCTTCATGTCAAATGTACTGACTGAACCACGTTAAGTGGCAAATATTTTTTAAATGAATGAATGGATTAAACAATGACATGAAGTTTACAACAAAACTATTTGATACAGAATTGAATATGGCCTTAAGGTAAGACCATCTTGGATCTAGTCCAATGGACTTTAGTAATTTTTAAAGTACCAAAAAGATTTTTATTTTAAGATATACTGGTCTTTAGTCATGAATCTGTTAGCAGAATGTTAGTAGAATGTCTCATAACATTGGAGTGCTATGAGGAAGTTCGAAATTCTTACATTAAAGGCCCTGAAAATTGTTTACTTATGTTTTATATAACTTTATCTAGCTTCTTTTCCTTCTAAGCGATCATTCATTATTAGTTTCCAATCTACATCTCAATATCTGGGTGTTACTAGATTGACTGTAGCCATTCTTAATTTTTCTGACTACTTCAAAGTGTTATTTTCTGTGAGTTACTTTAGCTTTGCTATTAACTAAGAATTTCAGGCTGTCAATGCAATTTTGCCCATTAAAGACAATAACCCCAGTTGGCTCTGAGGTACTATTTTTAGTTCTCTTGTGAGATGACTCTCTATACATCTTTTGTATATATTGAATTATTCAAATTCATAGAATCATTTTTTGTCTAAAGGTCTTGATTTGTTGGGCTTCTTAAGATTTTTACAGTTAATTCTAACTGCAGAGCTTTTGCTTTTAGCAAAACGAAGATTTGGAGCAGAGTTGAAATATAGATGGTGGCACTCTAAACTCGGGTTATGCTATTTTTTAAATGGAAGAACTATGTGCAATTTTCCTGGAATGTTTTAATATTTAATACACAAGATCTATAATTTTTCATGGGTAATTGAAGCTGAAATTGAAACATTAAAAAATTAATCACAGCAAACTGAATTTTCTAAATGAAAGATAATGTCTACTAGTGAGTAGAGCTTTCTGTTGATTAATGCAATGATTTAGGAGTGGAAGAGGGAGAGAGTTTCCTGCATCTTCATATGTTTACAAATGGGGTTTTGCATTGTCTAAAATTTGTAGGAGTTGATTTTCAAACTGCAAGTTTATGAAATAAAGAAATTGAATTTGTATGATAAGCTAGTAAATGAACTACATGATTCTATTATAGCCAGATAATTTAAATATTATATTTTGCTTTATTATTGTGTTGAGGATGCTGTTTAGTGGTTAAAATCATGTACCTTAGAGCTAGCCTGCCTTGGTTCAAGTTAGTATTGAACCAAGTTCTAACTTGAAGTTAGTATGACTTGAACCAAGGCAGGCTAGCTCTAAGGTACGTGATTTTATGGGAAGTAAAATCATGGGAAGTTGGCCAAATTCTTTAACTTCTCTGTGATTCAATTTTTTAGTCTATACAATGGAGAAGGTAAGAGCATTAATCCATAGATTGGATTAATGACTTTACTTATAAATGAAAAGTACTTACAACAGTGTCTGGCACAAAATAAGAGCTAAAAATTGTTATTTATTGTTATTTTGTTTTTGTGGCATCTGAATACACATTTGCAGGGCTGGTTTTCTCTGGGCCATTTAAGCTGTAAATCCTGTTCCGTAGATTGGAATGGCCATGTTTCATTGACTCAATTTCATTGCTCGGTTAACCAAGAACACATTTTCTGTCATTGATTTCATAATATTAATAAAACCAGATATGCAAGTAGATATTACCTTATGACTCACTTTTAAACTTTGTTTTGTAGCTATCATATTTCTTAGATATAGATACTACAGAAACCTATACTGCATTGTACTAGGGTTATAGCTAACAATACTAATAGAACTATGTTTAAGTGTGCGAAGAAAATGAAAGTTTTTTGAAGCTGAAGCTAGGTCAGTCAGATAAAGAGGGTAGAAATACAGGAGTGCCAAAAGATGTTTAAACATGCTTAAGTTGTTTTAACAATGAAATATTAGTTGTGGTGAATATTTACTAAAATCAATGGTTATGAGAGTTTAAACTCTTACAACAATGCCTGGCACATTATAAGCACTCTGTACATTTTTGGTATTAACATGGCATGCTCTGGATTAAGTATTTTATGTGTATTATTTCATACAATAAGACATTATGAGGAAGTAAATTGCTTTTGCCTTTTACAAATGTGGACACTGAGGCTTAAAAAGGTTAAATAACTTGCTCAAGACCCTACATGGACAAGTGGTGAAATAGGGATTTGAGTGCAGACCTAATTCTAAAACCCAGCCTTTTATCCGTTATGCAATATTGCTTCTCAATACTATCTCACAGTTTAGGGGAAGTCCTATAGTCTGCCATTAATTATGGATAGTATGGTAATGTACATGTAGAGGCTTCATGATAAATGATCATGTTGTAAATACTTTATTATGACTACTACAAATTACTTAGACTCAGTCTTCTTTTATTAATTTTTTTCATTCTTTTGAGGTATAAGTGACAAATAAAAATTGTACGGATTAATAGTATACAATGCAATATTTTGACGTACTACATAGACATTGTGAAAAAATTATCACCATCAAGCTAATAACATATCCATTAATGCACATGGTTTCCATTTTTTTGTCATGAGAACATTCAATACCTATTTTCTTAGCAAATTTCAAGTAAATGTACTGGTTTTAAACTGTAGCCACCACACTATACTAATGTTCTCCAGAACTTATTGATCCTGCGTAACTGAAATTTTTTGCTTTGACCAACATCTCCCAGTTTACCTACTCCCCCCTCCCAACAGTTCCTGATAACTACCATTCCACTCTTTACTTCTATGAGTTTGACTTTTTCAGATTCTGCATATAAGTGATATTATGCAGTATTTGTCTTTCTGTGCTTGGTTTATTTCACTTAGTATGATATCCTCCAGGTTTATCCATATTCCTTAAAACTAATTTAAGTCTCTTGTAGGCAGCATGTAATTGAATCTTGCTTTTAAAAAATCCATTGGATAATTTAGTCTATTTACATTTGAAGTAATCATTGCTAGATAAAGACTTACTTATGTCATTTTGTTTATTATTTTCTAATTTGTAATTTCTTTCTTCCTTTCTTCCTCTCTTGCCATCTTTCTACATGATTTGATAATTTTTTATGATGTTATGCTTTGCTTTCTTTTTCTTTTTTGCGTATTCGACTACAGGCTTTTTCTTTGTGGTCACCATGAAGTTCACATAAAACATCTTATAATAGTCTATTTTAAATTGGTGACAATTTATCTGACCATATTAAAAAACTCTATACTTTAGCTTCTCCACCTTGCACATTTTATGTATTTGATGTCACAATTTACATATTTTGAATATTTTGTATCCATTAACAAATTATTGGGCCAGGCGTGGTGGCTCACACCTGTAATCCCAGCACTTTGGGATGCCAAGGTGGGTGGATCATGAGGTCAGGAGTTGAAGACTAGCCTGGCCAACATGGTGAAACCCTGTCTCTACTAAAAATACAAAAAATTAGCTGGGTGTGGTGGCACACGCCTGTAATTCCAGCTACTCAGGAGGCTGAGGCAGGAGAATTGCTTAAACCCAGGAGGTGGGAGGTTGCAGTGAGCTGAGATCATGCCATTGCACTCCAGCCTGGGCAACAGAGCAAGACTCTGTCTCGAAAAAAAAAATTATTGTAGCTGTATTTGTTTTTAGTACTTTATGTACCCCCATTAAAATATTAGAGTATTTTGAACTTAACTGTATTTTTATATTTACAGTGAGTTTTATATTTTCATATGCTTTCATGCTGTTAGTGTCTTCATTTAAACTTGAAGAAATCCCTTTAGCACTTCTTATAAGGCAGTTCTAGTGGTGATGCCCTCCCACAGCTTTTGTTTGCTTGGGAAAGTATTTTTCTTCTTTCATTTTTAAAGAACAGATTTGCTGGGTATAGTATTCTTGGTTGACTGATTTTGTTTTCCTAGCACTTTGAATATATCAGCCCATTATCTCTCTTTTTGCTGCACCCAGGAGCTGTAATCTCTCACTTGAATTTCTTAGCCCTTGTGATGATATACTAAGTGTGGATAGTTGTTTAATTTCATATTTCTGCAAGAGGACGAGTGCTAGAAATTCCTATTCTGTCATCTTGCTGATATCACTCTCATTCTGCTCACTTATAAAATAGATATAATAATATCTACCACATAGGATTATTATGAGTATTAATGAGGGAAAATGTATAAAACATCCAACACATAGTAAACCCTGTCTAAACATTTTACAAATATTATTTCCCTTTCCCTTTTCATTCTTGCGCTAGGCATTGGCCACTTATTATGTGAGCTACAGATAAAATGTCTATTGGGCATGCTCTTCCAATTGGTAAATTATTGTTAATTCATTTTAGTAACATGACAAGAGATTAACAGATAGATAAAATATATAGATGGTGTTACAGTGGTAGGATATCTAAATAAGAAACTTATTCAATAAAGACTACTCTAACTATAGTTATAAAAGGACTGCATCCAATTTGCCCTACCATTTTCTAGATGAAGAACCATTGTGGAACAGTAATTGATAAATCTCTAGGGGTTCCACAGCTTTGGTCACAGAGCCTTGGCCATTAGAGGCATATAATACATATTTATTTCTTCATTGATTCTAAGAAGAGGAAAGAAACAAGACATTGTGCATCTTGAATTTACATAAAAAATACATGTTTCAATTTTACTAATCAAATTATGGCAGGTCATTCATTTTTTATTTCTCCTGTAATTTTCTAGCACATTGATCTTTATTTAGACTAACCAGAACACTTAGATACAGACTAATCAAACTGTTCATCTGAGAATCTTGATGCACTTTATTTAATGTTAATTTTAAAATTTGAATTAAATTACCGAAGACTGAATCTGAGTATGATGAAGAAATTTATTCCATTGGTAACAATTTGCTTGATTTTATCAAGCTACTGAATACCTTAAAACTTTCCATGCAAGTGTTAAAATACAAGTAGGTAATTTAAAAAAGTTATCAGAGGAGTTCACTATTGACAATGAAGCTAAAACCATTTTGTCATTTACTTTTTAAAAATTAATATTTTGAGTAGTAACAAAATTGAATTTGGTGACTTCACTGACTAATATAGGTTTTTATGGTATATAATAGAAAGACATTGCTTCCAATTTTTAAAATTTATGTAAAAACATTTTAAGAAAAATTTTTACAATTTGTTCCTTCAGAGATCTAAATTAGCCTTGTGACTATTTTTCTAAGTGATAGAAAATTTGAATCTAAAAGTAGAAGCAAACAAACAAAACTTGTTGCAAACTTTTCCTATATGTTAGTAATTAATATGTAGTTTTTTCGAACCACCTGGTTCCATGCTGACTCTTCAGTGCTTGTTCTGTTCTCAAAAATTGACATTGGATTGACTGAATAAGTACTGAGTACTTAACTATATGTGAGTTTTGTTTCTATTTTTTTCATAAATCAAGTCATTTAAATTCACAGCAACACTGTAGGTATTTTACAGATGAGAAATCAATTGCAACTCACTTTAAGAATAGATAAACTTGGTGTTCAAGACCTTGAGATGTCAGCACCTGCATCCCTTTTTTCTTCTTGGGGTTTTGGGGGTGATTAACTGCTTGACATCTGTGAAGACAACTATTTCCTACTGACAAAATGGTTGACTGCTTAGAAAAAAAAACAGTTTGCTGCTGTGTTAAATTGGCCCTTCTCTTCCTTTATTTTATTCCTATGAATTGAGAGCCACTGTAGTAATGGAGCAGCAGGGATGGCAGGATATGGGGTCATGGCCTGCCTTGTCACTAATGGCCCTGCAACTTTACTCAGCCATCAACTCTTTCCTGTTGCTCTCCCAGGAAAGCAGCAGGCCCTGGAGTCTCAGCCTGGGAGAAAGGTGCAGAATGAAGCTTCATGCTGAGGAGGAAGATTAAGTTCTGAGTGGTGTTCATGCAGAGGGTTTAAATGGTGCCAATTTGGGATGGATTCACACTAGAAGTCTGCTAAATTCCACCTTCTCTTTTAATGAACACTGGTGATTACCTCTGAGTGCACCCCAGAGGCTGTTTCCCTTATGTCAAATACATGTGACTCCATCAAATATATGTGACTCCATCCATTGCTATCAGTTTTATTGTGGGCTCTTCACTCTGCCTCCCAAACTCTTCGTCTCTCTGAGCCACTTGCACCACTTGTGCTTGTGGTCTCAGATTCATGCTGCAATGCTTTAAAAATGCGAGAGCAAACGAAGGTTTAAACCTGGTGGGTAGGGAAAATCACTTAAACATCTTTTGACTTAAAAGGTACTATAACAACTTAAGTCATTATTATTCTCAAGGCCTAAAACAACCTCAATGCCACCATGCTGGGTAAAAGGCGTTCAAGTTCCCAGCATGGCTTTGCTGCCATCATTCAGTGCCACAGCCATGTGAAAAAACACCATAGATGGATGAGCTCTGTGGTGCGGTATTTCAGCCTTGCTTGCTTGATAATTGTCAGGCAGAGCTTTCCTCACTCCGTAAATAGAAAGCTGTTTATTTAAATTTTCTATAAAAAAGAGAACTGTGGGATTACCCATTGTTTCAAATCTCCCCCTGGCAAGTGAAAAACAAATGGAATCCGAATTAAGTTTTATATTATCATCACTGGAATTTGTGCAATTCTGTGTGAAAATGTTGGAAACTGATCCCCATGGATGTTTTTGGCTCTAACTGTGTTGTAAAGGAAATAGTCAATTATTTTCTCATTAAATACAGTGTTAGATTTTTGTTCCATTTACTCTCAGAAGGTAGAGAAGCAACAGAAATGTAGTAGAGGCTCCCGGGAGATGAATATAAGGACACAGAACTCTTGCTGTCTTCATTTATTCCATTTACAGCAATAGATTCCTCACAGACCCTTATGGTGGGAATGAAACTGGAGCTATGTTAAGAGATAAATAGTGTTTTTATGAGGAAAGGTCAAGCAATATCAAGAAGAAAAAAATCAGAAATTAATTTTTTTTACCGTATGAATCATTTTTTTAAAGAGAATTTAAGCCTGAAAAAAATGCAACAGGTGAATTATATAGAAATGGCATTTATTCATTTATTCAATGAGCATTTATCCCCACTGTGTGTCAGGCACTAGTTTTGATTAGAAGATTCAATCTTTGACCTTAAGGAATATTCCCTCTGAATAGATGGACTTTAAATAAATAGCAAACAATTAGCACCCTGCATCTCTCCAGCTCCCCACCCCACCTCAGGCAAGACTAAAACTAAATAAATAGAATCAGGTCTTAAGAAGCCTTAACTTCTCTACCTGCAAGTTTTCACCTCTTTGCCCTCCTGTAACCTAAACCACATAGGTATTGACTTAAAATGTGCTATAAATGTTCCATTTCAAAACGATGCAACAGAGGCTTATTGCTCTGAGTGACTTGTCTCAAGAACCCCTTCAGTCCTTCACTTTGAGAACTCCTCAATACTGCTGTTAGCTGAAAAGGTGAACATTTCTTTTTTTTTTCTTTTATTTTATTTTAGGGTAGGACTCTAGAATCTGCTTTTTAAACTTTTGCTGTATTTATTTTATTTTATTTATTTTATTATACTTTAACTTCTGGATACATGTGCAGAACGTGCAGGTTTGTTACATAGGTATGCACGTGCCATGGTAGTTTGCTGCACCCATCAACTCGTCATCTACATTAGGTATTTCTTCTAATGCTACCCCTCCCCTAGCTCCCCCACCCGCAAACAGGCCCCAGTGTGTGATGTTCCCCTCCCTGGGTCCATGTGTTCTCATTGCTCGACTCCCACTTATGAGTGAGAACATGCGGTGTTTGGTTTTCTGTTCCTGTGATCTATGACAAACCTAACACGAACAAACAATGGGGAAAGGCTTCCCTATTTAATAAGTGGTGTTGGGAAAACTGGCTAGCCAGACACAGAAAACTGACACTTGATCCCTTCCTTACACCTTATACAAAAATTAACTCAAGATGGATTAAAGACTTAAATGTAAGACCTAAAACTATACAAACCACAGAAGAAAACTTAGGCAATACCATCCAGGACAAAGGGATGGGCAAAGACTTCATGACTAAAACATGAAAAGCAATGGCAACAAAAGCCAAAATTGACAAATGGGATCTAATTAAACTAAAGAGCTTCTGCAAGCAAAAGAAACTACCGTCAGAGGGAACAGGCAACCTACAGAATGGGAGAAAATTTTTGCAATCTATCCATCTGACAGAGGGCCAATATCCAGAATCTACAAGGAACAAATTTACGAGAAAAAACAACCCCATCAAAAAGTAGGCAAAGGATATAAACAGACACTTCTCAAAAGAAGACATTTATGCGGCCAAGAAACATGAAAATAAGCTCATCATTACTGGCCATTAGAGAAATGCAAATCAAAACCACAATGAGATACCATCTCACGCCAGTCAGATTAGTGATGATTAAAAAGTCAGGAAACAACAGATGCTGGAGAGGATGTGGAGAAATAGGAACACTTTTACACTGTTGGTGGGAGTGTAAATTAGTTCAACCATTGTGGAAGACAGTGTGGCAATTCCTCAAGGATCTAGAACCAGGAATACCATTTGACCCAGCAATCCCATTCCTGGGTATATACCCAATGGAATATAAATCATTCTACTATAAAGACACATGCACATGTATGTTTATTGCAGCACTGTTCACAATAGCAAAGACTTGGAACCAACCCAAATGCCCATCAATGATAGACTGGATAACGAAAATGTGACACATATACACCATGGAATACGATGCAGACATAAACAAGGATGAGCTCATGTCTTTTGCAGGGACATGGATGAAGCTGGAAACCATCATTCTCAACAAAAGGTGTACATTTCTATCTGTGGCTAGGCTTCGACCATGTTCTACCACATAATGCTGGGTTTTGATATCTTGAAAACTTTGGTTGACTCTCCTACTTTGTTTTGCTTGGCTCGTAATTCTAAAAAAAATATGACTTTATTCTTCACACCATCCCCTCCTTCCTGTTTTTACTTTCGTCGGGTTATGTTAGCATCAGCAATGCAGTTGGCTGATAGCAACAGAAAATCTACCAGTGGCTTAAAGATATGGGGTTTGTTTATTTTACACAATAAGAAGTTCTGGGGTAGGTTGCTTATGGCTAGTATGATACTTCAGTGATGCCATCAAGTACTAAGCCTTTTCCATATTTTGCTCTGTCATCCCTTCTGTGTATGTTTTTGTCCTCCAGCTTGTTGCCTCGTGGTTACGAGGTAGATGCTGCACCTCCAGACCAAACATCTGCATTCCGGTCAGAAAGTTGAGGAAGGAGGAAGAAGTTAAGGGCTATGTCAACTGAATTCATCCCCTCATTTCTATTTTTAAAAATCAGGAGATAGATTCTAGCTGTCCTAGAAGTCCCACCTAACAAACTCAAGTTTATATGTTGTTGGTCAGAACTGTGTTACATGGTCAATAAGTCAGGCTGGGACATCTGGGGATTGTGGGAGATGTTGGGTTGCCAACCAGTGGAGAAATGGCTATGTTGTGCTCTTAAATTCATTTGCAGTATTCAAAGTTTCAGGGGCAGCCTGTAGGGCAAATCTAAAAAAAGGTTAGAGAGGGCAAATTTGAATTAGTTTAATATTTGGCCTAAAATAATGTTAGATATTTTCCCATCAAAATGGTATTTTCTTATCTGATAAAATAAGTAATTTCCAAAAAGCATTAATACTTTTTTGGGGGAAAAACTTATTGGGACTTATCTTAGTCAGCTCAGGCTGCTATAACAGAATACCGCAGACTAGATGGCTTTGGTCCCTTCATCTTTTTTAAACAATTTATTTATTTTTTATTTATCTTTCATTTTACTTTAAGTTTTGTGATACATGTGCAGAATGTGCAGGTTTGTTACATAGGTATACATGGGCCATGGTGGTTTGCTGCACCTATCAACCCATCATCTAGGTTTTAGGCCCCGCATGCATTAGGTGTTTGTCCTAATGATCTTCCTCCCTTTGCCCCCATCCCCCAACAGGTCCTGGTGTGTGATGTTTCCCTCCTTGTGTCCATGTGTTCTTATTGTTCAACTCCCACTTATGAATGAGAACATGGGGAGTTTGGTTTTCTGTTCCTTTGTTAGTTTTGCTGAGAATGATGGCTTCCAGCTTTATCCATGTCCCTGCAAAGAACATGATCTCATTCTTTTTTATGACTGCATAGTATTCCATGGTGTATAAGTGCCTTAAAAAAGAGGGACTCCTCCCTAATTCATTTTATGAGTCCAGCATCATCCCAATACCAAAACCCGGCAGAGACACAACAAAAAAAGAAAACTTCAGACCAATATCTCTCATGAACATCCATGTGAAAATCTTCAATAAAATACTGGCAAATTGAATTCAGCAGCGTATGAAAAAGCTTATACACCACGATCAAGTTGGCTTCATCCCTGGGATGCAAGGCTGGTTCAACATACACAAACCAATAAACGTAATCCATTGTATGATCAGAACCAATGACAAAAACCACATGTTTATCTCAATAGATGCAGAAAAGGCCTTCGATAAAATTCAACCTTCATCTTTTTATAAAGGCATGAATCCCATCACTGGGACAACATCCTCATGACCTCATCTAAACCTACTTACTTCCCAAAGGCCTCACTTCCAAATACAATCCCACCGGGGTTTAGTGTACCTATACATGAAATTCTGGGGGACACAAACAGGCAGCCCATAACAGAACTTAAAAAAAAAATAGCAAGTGCTCTTGAAATTAAAAGAACATAAGGAAACATTCTCCAAGCTCCATCATAGATTCCCATAGGGACCAACTAAAAATAATGGAAGATGAATGTGAGGCAAGTGAGCTTAAAAAAACCTTGAGCACCAATTCCTGTTAGATATGCCTCAATTTCTTTAAGGCTGTAGGAGTTTGGGCTGTTGTAATTTTTTAGCATATAATTTTCATAGTGCTATCAATAATGTCTTTATATGCTTCTCATAAACAAAAAATATACATTTGCTGATGAAAGAAGCTGCTAATTTCTTCAAAATAAGACAGGAATCTCAACAATTTCCTTTTAACTGTTAAGCAACAATAAATCAACAAGGCTATCTAAATTCTATTTTTTTTTCATTATGCCAGATGCCTTAGTTATGGAAGTATTTTCTCAAAACTCAATTTGTCCTATTAAGTTTACAAATGGAAGATTTTTATAATGTGCATAGTATTTTTCTCTTCTCTTGTGTCTCAGTTTGCCTTTCTTTGGACCAAGAAAGGTGGTGCTTAAGACTCACAGAGATTACATTTGAGAGTGACATCTTCTTGGGCACTTCAATCCATCACATCAGAGAACCCAATTACCTTAGTAATCATTGACTAACTACTGATAAGAAAATCTTCAAAATGTTGTCCTTCCAAACCAAAGTCAAAGTACAAATAAAGCTTCCAACTAACCAAAGCACCCTACAGTTTCAGTCTCCATTTGGAAAGAGATCCTTTAAAAGTCTGCTGCTCTGTTTCACTTGTTTTCAACAGAAAGACCAATATGGGGCAACGATCACTCGTTCACTGTGACAAGGTTCTAGTGCTTATAATGACTGCCACATATTGCTGTGCTTACATGTTGTATTTCACCCACGGTCTCCCAGAAGAGGAATTCAGAGAGTCAATCAGGTAGAGTGAGATAATCGAGATTTCTCTTCATCTAGAATAAAATAAATTCTGGGTGTCTAGGCAGAGAAGGTAGAGCAAGTCTTTCTTAGAAGACATGTATACCTACAGCCAGAAAAATGGGAATAATAGTACTGACCTCTTTTTGTGGAGATTAAACAATCTAACCTATCTAAAGTACACAACACAGATGGCTACACTGTAATAATACTACTATCATTATTACATGGAGACCCAAAATAAAGGAGGTCAACTTTCCTCTGGTGAGGAAGGTTTCATGGAGTAGAAGACATTTGACCTGGGTCATGAAAAAGAAACAGAGGTTGTCAAAGAGGACCACAGGGAGAGGAAGAGTCCTGGAAGACAGGGAAGCATGTGCAGAGGCCCAGTAGTTCAGTATGGCTGATGCTAAGTCTGTGTCTGGGGTGTGGAAAAGACAGAAGTTGAAAATGAGATTAGGAGGTGGATTAAGATGGCTGAAAATGAGGTTGCGGTGTGGACCTATGTAGTGAGCCTCACAGCATGCAAAGGAGTTTGGACCTTGAAATCCTGTACATAAAGATGAAGCTATGAGTCCATCTAAATAGAAACCACATGATCCAAATTGTGTTTCTGAAAGCTCACTATGGAACCATAAAAAAAAATGAATTGGAATGGTGTGAGTCTGGAAGAAACCTTAAACTAACATTTATTCATTACTTATATAAGTTCTAGGCACTAGAAAATATGTGTTAAGAAATTATCTTTCATTTCAAAGGTCTGGAACCTATCTGAGGAGGTATAATATAATGTGTAGATATAGCACAGTTTGATAAGTGTTTTCCTGTAGTTTGACCAGAGTACATAAGGACACCAGGGAAAGGACAATTAATTCTGCTAGGAAGGTGAGAGTGGGTGTGGGGATTAGGGAGAATTTCCAGGGGAAGTGGCATATTAGCTCCATAATCACATCACATGTTCATGGACTAGTACATGTCAAGAGTGGTATGAGATAGTGTGTGATGGAAGAAGAACACGTAAAAAGAAAAATTGAAAGTTTGAATGTCATATGAATTAACATTGGTCCTTAGTAGGGAGTAGGGAACTATCAAAGATTTCTATAATATGAGAAAAGCATTATAGATATGAAGAAAATCTTGGGCTTTTGAGACCGATAGTCTTGGGTTCAAATCCCCATGTAGTCATTTGCAAAGTATGTGACCCTTGCAAGTCTTGAATCTTTTCTAAGCCTTGGCTTCCTTATGGGGATTATGGGGATGATAATAGGACCTACTCTGTCTTACAGAGTTTAGTGAGGATTAAATGAATAAACACGTGGAAAGTACTTGGAATGATGCCTGGGAGGTACTTAATGCTAAATAAATAGTTGCTAAATAAAGAATGCTAAAAAAAATAGCTTTTTTTTTTTTTGGTCTGTATTGTTAAAACAGATGGTGAGGCCATGACTGGAGATACAAAACTGGAGAAACTATAAAATGAATTAGGTTTTGGACATGTTACATATACACTGCATGGAGACAGCCCGATGGAGGGATCCAGGAGGTGGAGACCAAGGGGCAGATGGAAACACAGATCTAGAGATGAGTAGAGAGATCTGGGCTGAAATACACATTTTGAAATGATATAAACAGATCAGAGATTGAGAAACATTTTCTGTAAAGGGCCGGATAGTAAATACATTAGGCTTTGGGGACAACATAGTATCTGTCTCAACTACTTAATTGCTATCTTAATGCCATAGCAGTCATAGACAAAACCTAAATGCTTGGGTGTGGCTGTGTTCCAATAAAACTTTATTTATAAAAACAGGCTGCTGGCTAGATTGGTCCATGGGTTGTAGATGGCTAACCCCTGTTACAGATGGTAATGATAAGAGAGGATGAGCTTGTACAGGGATAGAAATTAAAATGAATTGGAGAAGGCTGAGACTGGAGCATGGGGGAACATTCAGAGTGGATGTGCAGAGAAGGCAAATTAAGTCATGGTTGAGTATGGGCTATCTTGGTTATAGGCCTTGTTAGTGTCTTCCTGATAGCGCTAGGATTTGCTGGACAAGACACTGAAACTACAAATTCATGCCTTATTCCATTAATCTTAAGGGAAGGTCCGTCAAGAGATGGCAAAGAAAGTATAAGTGATGTTAATATTTTAACAAGGCAGCCAGCATGCACACTTTATAAGATTTAACCTCTCATGTCCTGAACAAACTTTCTTTTCTTATTCCTCACCTTTTGGTCTTACATCTCATATTTCTTCCTCCTCCCTCCTCTTCCAAGCTTGCGTCTTCTGCTCTCTGGCTCCCTGCCTTGATGTGCCCACCACAATACCAGGCGGGCAAGATGATAATCATCGAGCCAGCTATTATGAGCAGTATAAACAAATGACAAATCTCTGGGTGCAGGAAAGGTAACAAGAGGCTGATCAGTAGTTCTAGTTATCTTTCCTTCATGTTTATTGCAGTCTGGTGCAGTTATTTCTAAGGGCCTGACATTGATCGACAGCTTCTATTAAGGCCTATCCAGGGCAGCTGGATTGAACAGATACATTAAATAAAGCAGTTATTGCTTTTCATTGCCTTTCTGTAAAATATCACTGCTAAATAGCTTCTGCCATCAGATGCAGTTAGGTACATGGTTTTAATTTGAGGGACTGCTTTATAACACTGCACAATTGACACTGGCCTTTGTTTCCCCTACAATAATGATTGTGTACATCCTGGAGAATTGATGGGCTGTCCTTTGAGGTGGAGTTGGGAGGAGGCGAGGAGGAGGGAGCTCTGGCTTTGTTGTTCTCCCTCTCTTTTTATACATGCCAGGTTTGTCACTTGTTTGCAGCACTGGCAGGAACAATGTCAAGCGAGGGCCCTTATCTCAGGATGTTGTAATGTAGGGACTGTAAGCCTTTGCCTGGAAATGAGATAAGCGCAACCTTACAAGCATGGAGGAAGACAGGGGATGGGGGAGTGGTGGGTGCGTGATTGAGACAACAATGGAAAGCTGTCAGGTTCCTGTTACAGCTCTTTCTGGTGCTACAGAAATATATGCATGTGGAATGGTGCATAACAAGCATGAAAATAAAAGTCTGGAATGTTCATCTAATAATGATGTATTTGGAGCAGGATTATGCTGCCCAATGATATTCTTGTTTTATCTCTGGGCTAAATGCTGGGGCAGCTGTGTGCTTTGGCACAGTCTTCTGTCCCTCCTTTTGTGTGCTGCATATTAATCCTTTATTGAAGTAATTAAATGTGTGCTTAATGGCAATGAGCTGGCAGAATGAACATACAATTGAATTAACAGTTATGATTGGGAGCATGCTACAAGATGAACTAAATGCAATTACTGTAGGCATTTCTTTCTCCAAGTCGAATCTGGCTACATGACATGACTTAATTAGAGCTTGTTAGATACACTTACTCCCTGATCCTCTAGTGTGCTGCCTGGATTTTAGTTAGTGCTCCCACCAACCCCCATATTTGCCCCTTGCCCCACCTAGACTCAGCCTCTGCTGAGCAGAGACTCCTGATTTCAGCTCTTCTGCCATGAAGATAAAGTTTGGCTTTTCATAGACAAAACAGGAGCCAATAGCGACATCTTCAGCAGGATTTTCCCTCTGTAGAATCTCTGGTGATCACTGGTCCAGCTGTTTGTCCAGATGAGTGATAGCCAGAGCCATTGCAGAACCTAGAATGCTTTGTAAACCCAGGAAGGCAGGTGCCCTGATATCAACAACAGAGCTTGACTTTTTAACAGAGAATGAACTTTTTAGCTTTCAGTCACGTAAGAGACTTCTGGGTGGAGGATTACCTTTTATTTCAGAGGCCTCTAGGTGAGGAGACCTGAACAAATTGTTAAACTCTTGAAGGGAATACCTAGGCAAGCACCAAATGTTTGTAAAACATTGCTCCATGGAGAGCTCTAAGTAAGAAGACATGACTAATATGTTGTACCATGGTTACTTAAAGCTTTTGTAGCTGCTCCTAAATATTAGTTAAATTAATGGCTCTTAATTCTGGCTGCACATGAGAATTCCCTGGAGTACTTTAAAAATACTGGTGGCCAAGCCCCACCCCCAGAGATTTAATTGTTTAGGGTGGGTCAAGATCTTGCTAGTTTCTAAAAGCTCCCAAGTGATTCTACTTATACCAAAGACTGACCTGCACTAACTTAGCTGGAATAACTTTAACAAATTTTTAAACTTGGTTTCCCACCTTTTATTTTTGCAGTGCTTCTTGGCACTCTGCAATATTTTTTTGGAGGGGTGGAGAACTTGACTCACAGGGACATGAGTAATGGTGGCTGTCAGCAGATCATAATGGGGTAATAGATAGTGGTTACCCTAATCTGATATACAAAGCTATGGCTTCTTCTCATTCCTATGTTGATCCTGGGACTACTTTGGAAATGCCATGCTAGGATTTATAATTCCATCAATTACTGACCTCCCAGATCTGTCCAACAAGCAAGGGCTCTCATTAGTCATGCCCCCCTGTTTTGCTTAGAGTTATTTACCAAGAGGCCAATCAATATTCTATGAGCAGACAGTTGAGATGAGAAGGCCTCATCAATCCATTCCATTTTCTTTTTTCAAAATGGTAGTTGGAAGCACGAGGGACAACTCACTACAAAATAGAGGGCACAATCCATTGTCACTTTTGAAAACCTAAAATGTACATTTTGTTTTATTTTTATTTGAGCACAATAAGTCAGGACTTCTGGTCAGTGGGACCTCCTGGGTCTATTTTACAGCCTTCATTCTCTTTCTCAGGGCCATAAATGAAACCCTTTCAGCCCTAATGACCACAATGACTTTCCTCGATCACGTTATTGCTACTTTGGCACATTTATTGCTTTCACATGCACTAATGGATGAGTTTGGATATGTTAACAATTTATATATCATTTGATCCTAAAAAAGAAGCCCTACCAAACTAACTTAGCCCCCACGATTGAGTAGCTTTTAAGGAGTATAAATGAATTTAATGCTTTAGAAAGAGCTTCTGTAAATTATGAACATGACACCTATTACATTAAGCTGCATTAAGCATTAATACATCTTCATTACTGGCAGGTTGCCCAAACCTCCAAGGTTGAAAAAGCTGCCTGAAAATGTTCAATGTGACAGTCACCTAGGCTGAGATTGATGGTTCCTTTTTTGGGGGTGTGAGGGATGCCTATTGACTAGGTCTGTCTTCCGCTTCCAGACAAAGAAATGGAAGTGGTGTCAACTAGAGTTCCTCAAAGGCTGAGTTTTAATGGCTAGGCCAGAACTTCTGTATCCTCAGCATGCTGCTCAGTTACCATTACTGGAGGAGGCCCCTGAGTAGGGAGATGTAAGGTGTTCCATCCTTTTAAATTAAAAGCTCAGGAGTAGGGACATATTGTTTCTTTCTGGGAGAGTTATATTAATTTCTGTTATAATTTATGGTATAAAATTTTAAAAAATATGTATTGATGGGTCGGGCGTGGTGGCTCACGTCTGTAATCCCAGCACTTTGGGAGGCCGAGGCGGGCGGATCACAAGGTCAGGAGATTGAGACCAGCCTGGCTAACACAGGGAAACCCCGTCTCTACTAAAAATACAAAAACAAAAAATGACCTGGGTGTGGTGGCGGGCGCCTGTAGTCCCAGCTACTCGGGAGGCTGAGGCAGGAGAATGGCATGAACCAGGGAGGCAGAGCTTGCAGTGAGCTGAGATCGTGCCACTGCACTCCAGCCTGGGCGACAGAGAAAGACTCCATCTCAAAAAAAAAAAAGGATTGATGATAATAACTATCATTCTTTGAATATTTGCTACGTGCCAGCACTGCTAAACTCTTTGTATATTTTATTTCATTTAATCTCTTTAATGGCTCTGTGAGTTAGGTATATTATTTATTGCCCATGGGTACTGTATTAGTTTCCTAAGTCTGCTGTAACAAAATATCATGAACCAGATGGTTTAAAACAACAGAAATTCATTCTCCCACAGTTCTGAATGCTACAAGTCTAAAGGCAAGTTGTTGGCAAGGCCCTCTCTGAAGGCTCTTGGGGAGAATCTGTTCTATGCCTTTCTTTGAACTCTGGTGTTGCAGCTAATCCCTATCATTCCTTGGCCTCTAGATGCCTCACTCCAATCTCTGCCTCTGTCCTCACATGTCATTCTCCCTGTGTCTGTGTCTCTTCTTATGAGGACACAAATCATACTGGATTAGAGCCCCATACTACTCCAGAATGACCTCTTTTTTTGCCTCAACTAATTACATCTGCAAAGACTCTACTTCCAAATAAGGTCACATTTTGAGGGAGGAAGGTAGAGAAAGGAGCGGGGTGGCGGAGGGGAGAGAAACAGAGAGAAAGGAGAAAAAGAGAGAGAGAGTAGTGCCTTGAAAAAATGTTAAATTGACTCTACTTTGGTCAATTTTGAATGAAAGGGCTTTACTTTAATATGATATAAAATTCATTGGTGTTATGACACCTAAACAATTGTGACACTTGCACATTCTATGTAACTAAAAGGTGGGTTACATTTGGAATGGCTAGGGTGTTACTAAATATAAAAAGGATCTTACGCTTTCAAAGATTCTATTGACTTAGCTCTATTTGTAGTAGTTTTGATGATGTCACAGGTCAACACTATAACTAAACACAGACCTTAACATGTGCCTTGAAAATTTCAGGAGAAGTCTAGCTAGTTTGAATCTGTGTGTGAGGTCCATGAGCCAAGAAATACTTTCTTTTAACAAGGATGAAAATTCCCAACTAAAGTTGGTTGGGCAGAGGCTAGTGTATTTGACAAACATTTATTCAGCATCTTTCCCATTGACGATAAGAGGACAGGCTCCCAGAGTAACAGGAAGAGACAGAGAAAAACTAATAAAAGCTTACAGGGGGACTGATAGAAGAATGTGCAGAGTATAGTAAGGTCACAAAGAAGGAAATCGCTATGAGCTGGACTGGACTGCCTAGACAGCCTGAGAGCAAATCTTGGTTCTACCAGTTCCTGGTTACCAGTTTTTAGGTAAATTATATGACCTTTGTATAATTTATGCATTAATTTGTTAATGCATAGATGTGACAATAGTATTACTTCATAGTGTTATTTTGAATATTAAATGGGAAATCACTAATGCATTAATAAGGACCTTTTTGGTCATTAGTGACAAACGCATTCCAATTAGTTAAAGCATAAAAGGGAATTAATTGGCTTAAGTAATTTGGATGTCCACAGGTACATTTGGCTTTAGCCACAGATGCATCTTGGCAGTGATGCTGACAAGATATGGTCTTCATCTTTTGGCTGACTTCTTTATTAGACTTCATTCTCAGGCAGTCTTTCCCAGGGTAGTGACAAAAAATGCCTAATAGCAACCCCAGAATTTAACCCTAACAGTGGGAAGCAAATACTGCTCTACCAATAGTTCCTGTAGAAGTCCTAGGTAGAAATGTCATTGAACAGACTTCGAAAATGTTGCCATCCTTCACAAGGGTTGGGAAGGGAGATGGGACCAATCACTGAGATTGAGGAAGCAGGGATCGATACTGGCAAGGAGGAAAACACATCTACCATGTTGACATGTAGAGCTCATGACTCTTATTTTGGCTTCTGGGAATGTTGTGTATTATCTATCATTATCTATTACTGTTTTTTTTAAACCAGCCCTACTAGGTGTTAATCTTGTCCCTAAGTAAAACTGGGCTTCCAAATATAAAAGTAGTTATCAACAGAATGTGCTGAATAGCTGGATTTGAAATGGAAAAAGGAAAAGAACCATTTAAAAAGCTTCAAGTGTCTATTTTGTAAGCAGAATCCAAAGAAGCAACATTTTTATCCACATATCAGCTATTTTAATGTCCATAAAATATAGAGAATAAAAAAGGAATTCTTGAATTATGTTTCAATATAGTCACGCTTTTCTCTTCTTAAACAAGTTGATTTTTTTCCATTAAAGATGGAATAATAATATCTAGCAGTTATAGAGTGCTTATTATGTGCTAGGAACTGTTCTAACTAGTTTATTTATATTAATTCACTTAATCCTATGAGAGTGATTCTATTGTTACTGTCGTTTTACGGAGTGATACATTTGAATCACAGAGAAGTTAAGAAATTTGCCCAATTTCATGCAACTAGTAAGTGTAGAACTGCAATTCAAATACAGGTAGTCCAGGCCAGGTGTGGTGGCTCAGGCCTGTAATCCCAGCACTTTAGGAGGCCGAGGCGGGCGGATCACGAGGTCAGGAGATCGAGACCATCCTGGCTAACACGGTGAAACCCCGACTCTACTAAAAATACAAAAAAATTAGCCGGGCGTGGTGGCGGGCGCCTGTAGTCCCAGCTACTCGGGAAGCTGAGGCAGGAGAATGGCGTGAACCCGGGAGGCGGAGCTTGCAGTGAGCCAAGATCACGCCACTGCACTCGAGCCTGGGCGACAGAGACAGATTCCGTCTCAAAACAAACAAACAAACAAACAAAAAAACCCAAATCCAAGTAGTCTAGCCTTTTACCAGTATAATATATACGCTCATTTCAGAAAGTGTAAAAAATACACAACAGCAAAAAGAAATCCCTCATTATCCTATCAATGAAATATAATTACTAATGGGTTAGTGTATTTCTATCTACTTTTTAAAAATTCCTGGATTATGTTTTTTGCCTTGTTGGAATTGAACTGTATGATGTTGAATATTTTTATATTGCCTTTAATTTCCTTTACATTTCATAAGTATTTTCCCTCATCAGATAATTATCTCAAATAGTGTTTTTAATGTCTGTTTAATAGCATATAGGTATGCATCAATTAATATACTATTTTTATTGGATTTCAGATTATTTCTAATTTTTTACCCTAAAAACAACTCTGCTTGACTTTTTCTTTTATAAGTTAGTATTAGTTAACTTGTTTTAACAGATATTAGTTTTATGATTATTATTATGAATGGAAATATATGCTGTAAAAGCAAAAACAAAAAGCTTCTGTAGTGAGTTCATAGATTTTGATATCAGACAGATATGGTTTGAATCTGACTCTTACAACTCAACCAAATGTATGCCCTTGGATAAGTTATTTAATCTTTTTAAGTGTCAACTTTCTGATTCATAAAATACACAAGTAAGATAATACATAAATTCCTAGAGCATTGTGAGTCAACAAACAATTAAAATTCTGTTCATAGATATTTTTTGTTGATGGGATTTATGTAAAAACATTAATTCTTTTCTGGTTCTAGAAAATTTATAAAATATAAAAAATATGACAAAGAAAATAATATTTTCTATAATATTGCCACTAAACAGTTAATCGATGTAAATGTTTTCTTATATTTCCTCCCAGCCCCTTTTCTATGTATACGTAGATCTGCTTAAAGTGTATAAATACGTGTTTCCCTATGTGTATATATATAGTAAATAAAATAGAAATTAAACTATATGTGTATTTGAATTTCTACTTGTTTCATTTAACTTTATAATGTATTATATTCCTGTATTTTAAAATATTCTTAGACTTTTAATGGCTAGTTAGTATGCTGTCATCTTTGGAATATGCTGTAATAATAAATTATTCATTTATTTTGGACTTTTAGTTTATTCCCACTATTTTTTTAATAATGCAGTGAAGAATTTCCATTTATATAAACCAGTTATCTTCATATGTCCCGGTCTTTTAGTTTCTGAGTTTAGATGTTACCTTCTCAAAGAGACTTCTTTTCCCTATCAAATGCTGTTGTGCGTCCCTGCCAGCTGTATTCTAGCACATTACTCATTTTGTATTCTTCATAGCATTCATTACAACCTAAAATTATCTTACTCCTTTATTACTCTTACCTGCTCTTTATTATCATCATCCTTGCCTTCCTGGGAATAGGAACTCTAGCTGTACAGTGATCTGATGCCTACAATGGTGCTGGGAATGCCATTGAGGTTAATGATTATATGCACAGGCTCTGGAGCTGGTCAACCTGGGTTTAAATCCTGCTCAACAATTTACTTGAGTATGTTACTCCACCTCCTTTAGGCTCCATTTTATTGCCCATAACATAAAGATAATCATAGTACCTACCTTATAGAGTAGCTGTGAGAATTAAACGAATTAGTACAAGTAAAACATTTAGAATAGAAGCTAACACATGATTAAAACAAAAACACATATAGCACTTCATAATATGTGCCAGGCACTGTTGTAAGCACTTTATAAATGACAACTCATTTAATCCTCACAACCAAATTATCATTGTTTCCATTTTCACATGAGAAAACTGAGACATAGTTGGGTTAAGTGACTTTGCCCGGGATCGAGTTAGTGAGTGGCAGAGCCAAGATTTAAAAATACCTCAGCAATCTGGCTTCAGAGTCCATGCTCTTAATTACGGCGTTATGTTGCCCAAGGCACTTGGTAAGTGTTAGTTGTTATTATTAGACTAAGTACTCAATACATTAGATAAATGAATGAAATAAAATATCTCTGATTAATTTCTTAGGATTTAGTTCCAGAACTGAAATTATTAAACACTTGGTTAGAAAGAAATGGTAATGAATAGTTTTAAAGCTGCTAATATATGTTTCCAAAAAGATGCTGGAGGTCAGGAAACATGTTAAGACATTTGATGTCACAATGCCAAAGCACATGTGATACACCATAGGATACTTAGTAAGTGTTTCACAAACGTGTAAATAGCCCTTCTAAAAGGGCTATATCAGCATATACTATCACACAAAATATGGAAATATGTTCATTTCACCAGGTCCTTTTTGAAAATGAGTACCATAATTTTATTATCTTTTTCAGTTTGATAGGCAAAAAAATAGTTTCTCATTTTTCCCATTCTCATCTTTATTATTCTCTGAGTTCCTTAATTCAACAAATATTAATTGTATGTCTACTGCACTATGTTTCAGACAAATATTGGAAACATATTATTTAACAAAATCCCTGAACAAGACTCACATACTTGCCTCATGGGTTTGTTGTGATGATTAAAGAATACAGATAAATATCTTAGAAACATGCAACTACCTGAGCCGAGATCCCGCCACTGTACTCCAGCCTGGGCAGCAGGGTGAGATCCCGTCTCAAAAAAAAAAACAAAAGCACTACAGTAGGGAAAAGAGGGGATAGGGAGAGGTTTGTTAAATAATACAAAATTACAGTTAGAAAAAAATAAGTTCTAGTGTTCTATGGCACTGTAGGATGCCTATAGTTAATAATAATATGTAGTTTCAAATAGCTAGACAGAGGACACTGAATGTTGTCAACACAAAGAAATGATAAATGTTTGAGATGATGATATGCTAATTACTCTCATCTGATTAGTATACATTATATGTATTGCAGCATCACTCTGTACCCCATAAATATGTACAATTGTTATGCATCAACTTAAAAAAGTAAAAAATAGAACAAATTGAGTTCAGTGTATACCGCTCAAATGTTGGGTGCACTAAAATCTCACAAATCATGACTAAAGAACTTACTCATGTAACCAAATGCCACCTGTTCCCCAAAAAACTATGGGAAATTAAAAAAAAATTAAAAAAAACCACTACAGATGGATTGGGACAGGTAGATGACAGGTAGGTAAAATTGTATAAAGGCAACTGCCCTGGGCAGTGTTGCCATGCTAAAGATGAAAGAGGTTGAAGTTTAGGACCTGCAAGGGTGAAGTGGCTCAGATGAACACGGGAAGCTTTCATTTGTGCTCCTTCAACAGTTAAATTTCAAGACTAAAGGCTAAACTTGGAAATAAGGGCAAACCAGAAATAGATTGGCCTTCATGATGACAGAAACATAGCCTTGACTGGAACAAGATAATCTGCATTTACTTTGCATGTCAGAAGAAATGAAATCTTTTCTGGTTTGGATATCATCCAGAACCTAAATGTTGTCATATGCAATGTCCAGTATGTAGTCATAAATTACCAAAACACCAAGAATATCAAGAAACAAAATCAAATTGATGAAAATTAAGAAATAAAATAAATAATAAAAGCAGAACCATAAATTACCCAGAAATTGAAGTTATTAGACATAGACTATTAAATAACTAGTATTAAAATGTTCAAGAAAACAGAGGAACATGATATATTTTAACAGAGAGCTGGAGTCTATAAAAGTGAATAAACAGAAAGAGTACATTTATAGGTAAATTAGGTGAAATCTGAATAAAATCTGGGATTTGTTATTAACGATCCAGCTGGTCCTTGACTTAGGATGGTTCGACAGTTTTTTTGAATTTACAATGGTGTAAAGGCAATATGCATTTAGTAGAAACTGTTCTTAGAACTTTGAATTTTGAAATTTTCCTGGATTAGTGATATGCACTATGATACACTTGAGATGCTGGGCAGCAGCAGTGAGCTACCACTCCCAGTCAGCCACATGATCATGAGAAAAAACAACCAATACCCTCTAGGGTCCTGTGTTTCCAGTTGATTTTGCCCAACTATAGGGTAATATAAGTGTTCTGAGAGTATTTAAGGTAGGCTAGGCTGAGCTATAATGTTCAGTAGCTTAGGTGTGTGTTAAATGAATTTTCAGCTCATGATATTTTCAACTTACAATGGGTTTATTCGGACATAACCCCATCTTAAGTGGAGAAGCATCAGTGTAACAGTGTTATTTTCTCAGTTTTGACAAATGGGCAATGGTAATGTAAAATGTTAACAATTTGGGAAGCTAGCTGAGGGATATAGAGGAACTCTCTGTACTGTCTTTATGACTTTATTATATATCTAAAAATATTTACCTCTGATATATTTCAAGCCATTTATACATAAAGTACATAAGGGTAGGGATTTTGGCTTGTTTTGATCATTGATGTTTCTATGATAACTTGAGTTATGCCTGACTCCTATAGGTACTCAAAAGATACTTGTTGATTACATTAGTCTTTATATTTGTATGTTTGTTTTTATTAGTTTCTTTTATTATTGTTATAATTTTACTTATTTGAGTTGCTTTTGGCTTATTCTATTCTTTTTGTAAATTCTTAAGTTTGAGGCCCATTTAGATAATTAATTTTTATATTTTCTTTGTTCTAGTATATGTTTCTAAGCCTTTAAATTATTCTCTAATTTCTGTATTGTCATAATTTTAATATAGAATATTTCCATTATTATATGTGTAAATATTTTCTAATTTTTATTAGAATTTTGTTTTTGACCAAAAGTTCTTAAGATTGGGCATTTCAGAATTTCCAAACTTACCAGGTTTTCAAAGCTATCTTTTTATTATTGATTTCTAACTTTTTGGAAATACAATGAAAATAATTTCTTTGGTTAGTATTTTCATAGTACATCTTTTTTAAAATTTTAATTTTAAGCTATGCTCTGCCTTTAGGTTTGGGGCATATCTCTGTTAAATAGCATATAGCTCAATATTTTCCTTTAAATCCTATCTGACAATCCACGCTTTTACCATAGTAATGACATATTTAGATTTATTTTTATTTATTTTTGTACTGTTTGTTCCACTTTTTCTGTTTTCTTCTCTTTTAACCATTTTTGAATTGATACAAGTTTTTCCCCTTTCATTCCATTCTCCCCCTTCTGCTAGTTTGGAAGTTTCTCATTCTGCATCAATTGAACTTTTCTTCCTCTGCATTTGATAGTGAATTTCTGACCTGATGCCCAATTCTTTCTAATTTTTTTGTGTGTATTTCCTATAAGCAGTGAAATTCTCCTATATTACCACAACACAATAATCAAAAATCAGGAGATTAACAATGATGCATTACTACCATCAAATCTCCAGACCACATCCAAGTTTCACAGGTGGATACCACCAGATATTCCCCATATGTCTTTTAGGTGAAAATGATGCAGTTCGGGATCACAGGTTGGCTTCACTTACTACTTTGGTTCCCATGTTACTTTTGTTTCCTTCAGTCTAGGACAGTTCCTCAGTTTATCCTTGTTTTTCATGACCTAAACACTTTTGAAGGTTATAGGATGCCCCTCAATTTGGACTTGTCTGATGCCTCCTCATGATCACATTCAGGCTATGCATTTTTATTCAGGTTATACATCTTTGGCAGGAATAACATGGAGTGATTCTTCTCATTGCATCCTATCAGGTGGCATGGCAGCTTGATTTGTCCAATTACTGATGATAATGTTCACTTGACTAAGGTGGTGTCTGCCAGGCTTCTTTAGTGTAATTATTCTTTCCACTTTGTATATAATGAGTGGGAAGTGCTTTGAAACTCTATATTCCATCAAACGTTCCATTTAGTATTATTTTATGTATGGACCCATGGTTTCTCATTTTTTTCCAATGGGATGTATTTGTCATTATCAACACTTATTTAGATACTGTGGTTGTACCCAGTGGGGTCAGTGGGAGCCTCTTGAACTTGGCTTTTATGTCTTTTTGACATGTCCCCAACCTTCTTTGAACATTTTTCTGCTTTCTGACAAATTAAGTTATTCCAGGTTCATCTTGTACTCTCTCTACCCCAATAATGAACTCATTTATTTCTCTGAGTCCTCATAGACATATATTCACACACTTCTCTATTTTTCTCTATATATTTACTTGCATGTTAAAAACTGTGATTAGTAATGATACTTTCAATTCCAATCCAACACCAAATAGTTCATTCACTCTTTCCATGTTTATAAGTCTCTTCTGACTGTGAGACGCTTGCTTCCCATTAACTTTATTACACGTTTACTTACTAATCACTTTCTGTATAATCAATCTTTGTAATCAATCTCCCATCGCCTTAGAAAGGAAGTGCTCGTGATGGGAGATTGATTATATTCCTTCCTTTCCATGCTAAGCTGCCAGTGTGCAAAGATGCCCTCCTCATCTTGAACAGGCTCTGACATCCTCTTCCTGTCCTTTTCTGGTATGGATACCCCCTTCTCCCAGCTTCAGCTCTGATCTCCCATGGTGGGCTATCCCCCTCGATGAATGCTGTCTTCACCCTGCTCAGGCTCTGATATCCAGTCCTGAGATACCTCTCTGCTGGGATGCCTTTCTTACCTTTAGCTTCTAGACCCCATATGGACATTCTCATGTGCCTCTGCATGGATGTTCTCCTTACCTCACTGTGGCTCTAATTTCCCATATAGAAGGACTATCCTTCTATCTAGACCATTTATTTCTCTACCTGGGCTCTGATAACCTTTTCTGGGTCTTTGTAAGTCCCCCTGGTTTGCTCCTCCCCAAATTCTTAGTTTTAGAACAAAAATACAGAAAGAGCTGAAAATCTACTCTAAAAATTTTAACATGTGTACTTAACCTAACAAAATCTAAATTTAATCAGTATCTTTATCCTTCTCACTAACAGTATAGATGCTTTAAAATACTTTACGTCTGATAACCTTCTCCCCTTACTTGTATGCTATAATTCAGTTTTTAGTTCTCCTTGCATTTTTATACCAGCTCTTTGGGGTAATATTTGTCTGGTGGACCCTCTTCTATCTTTTAACTTTTACCTATTTGCACATTTCCTGATAATCTTACAGGGCATTGAGGTTCAAGAAAATCATATAAGGCTTTGGACCTCACTTTCATTATTTTCCAATTTGAAGAAGCGTAGATTAATCTTTCAAGGTTTTATTTTAACTCAAAAATTCTAGAGATCACACCAACTGTGTGAGATATTATATGTGAAAACAATTCAAAGTGGAAAATGCTACACAAAGGGGACATATTAAACATGAAGGTAATCAAAGTATGGTTAGTTTCCTTTGCCTCTTGTGATATGATTCATACTGCTGTGGTACACAGCATAAGCCAAGAAAATAGATTGCTCAAAGCACTGCATACAGAGGAAAAAGCCCTGATAATGACTTAGGGAAGGTTTGTACTCACTTATTAATCATTTCATATCATCTGCATTTTGGTTCTACACCTGGTATTGTCATGAACCCTTTCTGAGTTGCCCTTGCATTTCCTAGTTTTTACCTTCTCCAACACAATAAGAGTTAATTGTAGCAGACATTCAGCAAATACTTGTAGATTGAGCCAGTTTGAATTTTCTTCTCACTCACTGAAACTGAGAGTTGCCCCACTTTGAGATCTATTGGTATAAAAGGTGCCATATCTATGTGCAGCTTCATCATCATTATGTTATTAAGCATCATCCGTCTATTCATTCATTTAGTGTTGATTGAGTACCTGTCGTGTATAGGCATTGTGCTGAGTTCTGTGTGTCCAGTGATAAAAAAGAAAAGATCTCTGGTGCCTAAGCTCACAGACTAGTGGAGGAGTCACACATGTATTCACAATACAATGTGCTAAGTGTTTCACAATACAATGTGCTAAGTGTTATAATATGCTCAGATAAAAAAGTGAGAAAATTAATTGTAAATATTTTATAGGGTCAGAATGAGATAGTCAATTTAAAGAACTTAGAATAATGCCTTAGATGTAGTAAGTGATCAGAATGTGAGATATCATTATCACTATTATTATTAAGGAAATAATGGTACATGAGGCCAGACATGGTGGCTCAAGCCTGTAATCCCAATACTTTGAGATTGCTTGTGCCCAGGAGTTCAAGACCAGCCTGGGCAACATAGTAGAACACTGTCACTATCAAAAAACAAACAAACCAACCAACAAACAGTAGTGTGCATGGTGAAGCGCACATGTAGTCCCAGCTACTTGAGAGATTGAGGTGGGAGGATAGCTTGAGCACTGGAGGGTTGAGGCTGCAGTGACCTGAGATCGTGCCACTGCACTCCAGCCTGGATGATAGAGTGAGACTCTGTCTCACACACAAAAATAGTAGGGAGCGGGACATGAAGCTGGAAAGGTAGTTAGGGGATAGAGATATAAGAATTTGGATTTTATTCTACAGATAATGGTGAATCTTTAAAGGAATTTAAGCAGAGGAAAGATATGGTCAGATTTGTTGTTTGGGAAGGACCCCAGCCATTATGTGTAGCATGAAACAGAGGTAATGAGACTACAGTCGAGTCCAGTTTGCTCATTCATTCACTTCTTCATGTAACAATGAATTGACTGATTGCCAACTGCTATACAATCATCTAAGCAAAAGATAATAAGAGCCTGAATGAGAACAGAAGGAAATGAAGACAGAGGAGGCGCTGGATTTGGGAGACATTTGCAAGAAGATGTGCCAAAACTTGATGCCTGAATACATATACAGAGAGAGATATTTAGACTGATTTTTAAGTTTATGGCTTGAACATTTGGGTTGGGAAAATATTACAGTAGGAGCCAGTCTTGTGAAAGAAGAAACTGAATTCAGCCTTGAGCAGGGTTGGCCTGAACAAGGAGGTGATAGAGCCATGGGAGATAATGAGATTGCCTAGGGAATAGAGTATGGTGGGCACCCCCCATGGAACATAGCTATTTAAGCCATTGTGGAGAAAGGGAGGTCAGTAAAGAGAATTGAGCAAAATTGTCCTGAAGGAAAATTAAGGAGAGAGCGATGACTAACAAAAAAGTGTGGCTTACATGGTCAAATTGTACAAAGAAGTCAATTAAGTAGAAGCTTTCAGTTTGATTAGGACCTTGAATGTAATGAGAGATCAAAGGATCTATAGTTTTAGTAAAGGGGTGCAGGTGGAGCCAAGCTTGCAGGGAGACAGCAAGTGAAGGCAAGGTGAAGAAGAGGGCAGAGTGAACGGAGACTAGTGTTTCAGGCAGTGGCTCTTAACCAGGCATGGTTATGGTTCCCAGGGAACATGGGACAGTGTCTGGAGAAATCTTTGATTTTGATGGCTGGATGTGCTACTGGAATCCAGGGGATACAAACCAGAGATGCTACCACACACCTACAGTGCACAGCACAGCTCTCAACAACTATGTATTATCTAACCCAAAATGTCAATAATGCTGAGGTTGAGAAATCTTTTATAAATACAGGAAGGAGAATAAAGAGTAAGTAGAGTAACTGTTAACACTGAAAAATGAATGGGTAAAGAATGAGGGCCACCGGGGGAATCTCTATTAAGACAAAAAGAAGGGAACAATGTAGAAGGAACAATTGATGAGTAATTGAAGGGAACAATTCTGGAGGGGATGACAGAAGGAACCAGGGGCACAATTCTCTGGATCAGATTAACCAGAGGTTGGATACCTTCTCTCTGAACAAGAGGGAAGGAAGTTAAACTTAAGTATGGATATAGACATATTTTGTACATTGTGAGGAAGAGAAGGTAAAGTGTTGAAGCTTTTGCTATTGAATTTTGATCCTATCATGACATCTTTTTATGAATCTGATCCATGCATGTTAGATTGAGACTCATAAAATGCAATACATAGAGTTACAAAGGAAATCAATTATGTTGTAACGTGGTTAGCAAAATATTTACAAAGTTAGCGATATAGTAATATATATGCTTCTTTACTAACACATTAAATAACAAGATCTAGTAATGTGTTTAATAACTACCATAATTTTGAAGTAATTACAAATGGAAATAATATTTTGAGAAATCTGCAACAATTGTAATAGAATACAAAAATATCACTGATTTCACTCGGTGACAAAATCACAGATTTCGCTGTTATCACCATATGCTGCCTGCATTCCTAATGATGGAAATGCTCAAATTCTGCTAACAATTACTGAAAATAAAACCACAATGTTTTCCCCATTCAAGTTCATAGAATCCCTGAGTTCTTAAGCACGAACCCTGGGTTAAGAAAACCTTCTCCTGACTATCTCTTACTGTCAATCCCACTTCTCTGTTTTCTTTCCTTGCTGTTTGTTTCTAGTCTTTTTCATCCTCTTCCATTCTGACTTTATCCCTTGGTTCACAAGGTTATTTACCTGGCACCTGGGGTTAACCACTAGGTTTTGGATTTTGATTTTAGCAGGTCCTTAAATGTCTTGGCTGACATTCACACTTTTCTTGCATGTGAATTACGATAGTTTCTCTCTGGTGAAGGTACTGGTTCTATAGTAAGTGGTGCCTGCCACCCTGTGTTCATCCTTAGTCATGTGGTCCACTGGGTCGGAGAGCCCATCACCGTCTTTAGTTTGGCTGAGTAAAAGGACCACATACTTTCTTCTCTCAGAATGTGGGGCAGGGTCATCTGCTACAGTGAATGGAGCCAGGTTTCAGAAGAGCCCATGAGGGAAGATGTGAGTGGGAGCTGGCTCAGGACAGATTGAGAAATGGTGTAGAGAATTCAGCTGAGATCAGAACTGCAGTGGCACCAATCTGAAGGGTCATATGATTCTCTTCAGCTGTGCTGGAGAGAAGTCTCAGTGGCAGTCTCCATGGCATAGACAAGATGGATTACTGAAGGAATCTGGAGTTGGAGGTTAGCAGGGCTTGGGGGGTAGGGAGGGTGGGTCTGTGGCAGAAGGCAAAGGGCTAAGGAAATTAAAGGTGCTGACAAGAAAGAGGTTGAAATGCTGCACCATGGGGTCCTGGCTCAGTAGGGAAGGAAATCAAACCAGGGGGAGCTGATGGACTAGCAGAGAATGGAAGGATCAAGGGAGTGGAGGTCTTGTTGAGGTCAGCATGCTGGTGAAAAATTGGAACAGGGTGTGAGAGAGTGGACCTCCTTCTCTTCATACCAGTTTCTGCATGACTGTAATTAGTGTTCTTGTCATGGCCCTCCCTAGTGTACATTTTAATGACAAAAAACATTATTACAAATGGACACTAAATGTGCCATTAAAATAGTTCTGCCCTACATTCAAATATGCTCAATGAAACGTACCAGACTCAATTGACTATTGGAATGAGAAAGAAAGGAGAAATATAGGGAGCTAGCCAAAAAACCTAAGTCACTTTTTGTAAATAGCTTAAAACCATTAAATAAATTAAGCTGCTGTGGGTATATGCACACATTTCATGGAGTTCCAATTTAGCAATTACTGTTCCTGCAGCAAAATCAATAAAATATGCATCCACAATCATACGGAGAAAACACATCAAGGGACTTCAAGTTTGAGTCTTGATTCAGAAAATATTTTTAAATAAGGTAAATGAATTAAAATGTATCAGGTTCAGCACTGGACTGTGGTTGGTAGAAATATTATTTTTGATACTTTTAGTTTTGAATCGGCTGTAGTACATGGTTCAAAGAGCAAAATGTATTCGAAGTCTGTCAGGGTATTGTGAAAGTGATGAAGACCATGCATAAGGATAGGGCTTGGGCTAGTCTCTCATTTTGAAACAAATCTATGAGATTTCTTATGATGACCTATGTAGGCACACGATGTGACAATGCTGCATTACCGACATTATAGAGTGATTTTTAATTTACAAAGGGCTTTAGCCTTCCTCCATTTAACATACTTTTATTAAGCACCTACTGTATACTTGACAGACAATGGAAATGAGTGTTGTTTCTTTCTCTCTTTAACATATAAAGTGCTCTTCAAAGTTTGCTCACATATACTTTTTAAGAGAATTTTGAAAGATTTAGTATCCCCTTTTAGATTTAAAGTATAAATAGAGTAGTTGAATGGATGGATTTTCACCATATTGTAAATATTGACCTTTTAAATAAAATATTGTAAGTATTGAACTTTTAAATAAAATTGTTACATCACCTTTTAAAATGCATTCAATGGAATCTAAATACTGATTGGATATCAACCATCACCTATTTAAAGATACACAAACAAACTCTCCTTTAACAGACTGAACGTTTACATCATTTATTTATTTTTCTTTTGAAGTCATTTTCCATACCACTTTCCCCAGTGAATTTTATCTTTATGTAATACATTTTATGCATGAAGGTGTTATGGACCATTATATCATGATTCTCTGCTACAAAATATGTATATACAGTGATATTTTAATTAAATTTTTTCTTCTAGCCATCAAGCTATAAATTTTAAAATACTGACTGAATTATTTTTATGACTATTAATAGTACCAATTGGTCAAAATAACATAAACATATTATGTATTTTGATAAATAATTTAAAAAGACAAATTTTTATTGAAACTGCATCTCCTATAAGATGGCTGGGACTATATATATTTTTTTAGTTCAATTAAATTTTATTTCAATTGAATTGTGGATACCCCCGTATTGCTAGAATGAGACAAGGGTTCAGTATAATTTCTATTCCTAGTTTTAATTTTCATAAATAAAAACACTAAAATTTTCTTTAGTAAATAAGATGAGAAGGAAAAAAGTTTTGTTATAGCAAGATTTCTCAATCGTCTAAAATCCTGATGTATACCCAACCTAATAATAAAAAATTACTTTTAATGATCCATTAACTGTCAATTCAATTAAATCTTTCTTCAATGTGGCTGAGAGAGAAGTATTGGAAATTTAGTGACAGGCACAAATGGTTTCCAGTTCTGTTTGGCATCCTTGAGGTCTTTATGCCCTTGGGCCATGCACTTTTGGTAAGATTAGAAAAGAAACACGTATTTTTTTTTTTTTTGTAAGAAGGGAGAAATAAAAGAGAAAGTGAGAAATAAGAGTTTGTTCCTTTTCAATGAGATTTCTCTCAGGTAACGTTAGTTTTAGGAAAAACTATACATAAAAGTTGAGGATCTGGAAGTTGACTTACTTAAAACCTCCCTTGACATATCTTTTGGAAAGTCCTTGTATATTACTGGAGGCACCCGTATTCCAGACCACTGGTGTATTTGACCTCCTGTAGAAAGAACACGTTCAAAACCAGGTCACCAGATAGGTGCAAAGCCAAAGGCAAGGAATAACAGCACAGAAGGAGTAGTCACAAAACCAGGCAAGATGAGAGTGAGGAGGAGGGGACACACCAGCCAGGGAGAAATACCTGAAGGCCTTTCACACTGAGAGAGTTGTGGACTTTTTATGTGGTCCTGTACAGGCTTCCCGAAGTGGACCAGGTTCATTGAAAATGGCCAGAAAAACACAAGATCACCATAAGGTGCAATTTATCAAGTCTTCTTAGTATATTACATCACTATCATTTATTTATATGCCTACTGTATATGTCAAGATCTAAGATGGCCAAGAATAAGATGATATCCTGGTCAAGACCACAGGCTTTACAGGCAGAGCACTTTACTTATTTGTTTGTTTTTTTATTTTGAGACGGACTTTAACTCTTGTTGCCCAGGCTGGAGTGCAATGGCGCCATCTCGGCTCACTGCAACCTCTGCCTCCTGGGTTTAAGGAATTCTCCTGCCTCAGCCTCCCGAGTAGCTGGGATTACAGTTGCCTGCCACCATGCCTGGTTAATTTTTCGTAGAGATGGGGCTTCACCATGTTGGCCAGGCTGGTCTCGAACTCCCAGCCTCAGGTGATCCACCCACCTCAGCCTCCCGAAGTGCTGAGATTACAAGTGTGAGACACTACACCCGCCCTCCTTAATTTGAATCCCAATTGCAACTAGTTCATGAACTCAGGCAAGTTTCTTAACTGTTTTAACTATCACCTTGTCATGTCTTCTAATAATTGTACCTAGCCCAGGTGGTTATAGTAAGAATTAAATACAATAAGTAAAGCTATGAACACAATGCCAGGTCATTCAACATTTATTCAACCAAAAATACTAAGTCAGCTCTATACAAACTAATGGAAGGATACAGCTATGCAAATATAGAAGAACACTAAAGTGTTACATGACAGATGTATGAGGTAGGTATTATTTTCATGCGCGTCCGTGTGAAGAGACCACCAAACAGGCTTTGTGTGAGCAACATGGCTGTTTATTTCACCTGGGTGCAGGCGGGCTGAGTCTGAAAAGAGAGTCAGCGAAGGGAGATAAGGGTGGGGCCGTTTTATAGGATTTGGGTAGGTAAAGGAAAATTACAGTCAAAGGGGATTTGTTCTCTGGTGGGTAGGAGTGGGGGTCGCAAGGTGCTCAGTGGGCAGGAGTGGGGGTCGCAAGGTGCTCAGTGGGGGAGCTTTTTGAGCCAGGATGAGCCAGGAAAAGGACTTTCACAAGGTAATGTCATCAGTTAAGGCAAGGACTGGCCATTTACACTTCTTTTGTGGTGGAATGTCATCAGTTAAGGTGGGGCAGGGCATATTCACTTCTTTTGTGATTCTTCAGTTACTTCAGGCCATCTGGGCCTATACGTGCAAGTCACAGGGGATGCGATGGCTTGGCTTGGGCTCAGAGGCCTGACAATTATTAATCCCATTTTACAGGTGGGGAAGAGGAGGTTACAGGAATTTGAGCTATGTGCTTATGGTTACCAGCCAGTAAGTGACAGAGCACAGACTTGACTCAGAACGTTGGACTCCTTGTAGCCTCTTCAAGTGTGTAGTGACAGCACACTGCTGGGTCCCGTAGACTAAAATATTATGCATCATTCCAGCTGAGAGAACAGTTCTGGACGTACATTCACCACTGACTGCCTGCAGCCAAGCCTTTTGGTTCCTGGCCTCTAAATGTCTCGTCAGCTCTGTGGGCCAGGGAGAACATCCTCCTAAGCATGAAGGGCATTCCAAGGTCAACAAAGCACTTCAGGCTCCATAAAGAAAGCAGCTATATAAATGGGGGTTCTTGTTAAGATAATAAAGCTCAAAAGGCCACTTTTAAAAAGAGAGGTCACCTGGAGGGTTACCAGGAAAAGCCAGATGCCCCAGATGTGCTATTTAACCTCCAGTTTTTATAAAATATACACATACTATAGGAATGTATGTTTAATTATTTTACTTTTAGAAAATGATGACTCTAACATTGTTTAAATAAATTAACTCAATTCCTATTATTAGAAGCAAAGTGTCTTGCATTTTACAGGTGCTGAGTCTGGTAGGAATGGATTAACCAGAGGCTCATTAAATGTATCACCACTGTTGGCCAAACCATATAAACTCTTTGGAGTATGAGATGGTTCCAACCGTCTACTGTTGTGCATTAATAGTGGAGAGTGCCTCAGTGTATTTCCTTGTTTTGAATAAATTGTGGTATTAAATTCACAGCCTTCCTTCATCAGAAAGGGAAAATGATTTGACCTTCACATTCTTCAGAGCTGAACTCAAACTTTGGAGGCACACTTCAAAGCTCTGTAAATAATATGAGTAACACTTTGGACCCTTCTGGGGTGGGAGGGAAATTCCCTTTCTGAAGAACACCCAAGTCTTTAAAAAGAAATGGTCAGGTTTAAATATCTCACTATTTTTCTTGTTTGAGACTCCATGCTGAGGATTTTATTTTCCTTTGCAAAGCTTATGCTGCCCAAGCTGCTTTCTCAGAGGTCGGCTGGCGTTGGTGCTCAGGGCCTGCTTGCAGATTTCGCTGGAACAAGTTTATTTGTAGTATAGCCCGGGGCGGGTTGAAGATTCCATTATGATGCGGGAGGCTCCCCTAGTTTGGAATATCAATGGCACTTCAAAGGGCTGGAGCTGTGAATTAGCAGCCAGGCTTCTTCTCAGGCCCTAGAATAGAATAAAATAACACGAAGAGATGTGTTTCAAGATAGAAAGAGTGGAGTATTTTCTTCTAGGGCTCTAATTGTAAAGTGGGCACTCCAAGTCTTCATGGATATCCTGGCGTCTCTCAGGGCACCGGAGGCTGTCATGGATTTTGCAGAAACCCCTCAGATCTCCCCGACTGAAATCTTAAACACAGTGCTGGGCACTTCCCATTCTGCCAAGTTCTCCAGCTTCCTTGATGTTAACCCCTACTGAGCCTTGGAAAAAGGGTAACTCAAAGCTGTTTAGCCTAATTTATTTATTGCCAAAAGGCCAAACACCATATTAATTTCAAGGTTTCTCAAGTATTCTATTTTCCTAAAACTTCACCTTCTTGTCTTCTCCTCCTCTGTCTGCCCTACGGTGAAAATAGGGGAGAAAGGAAGTTAGGGTTTTTTCCTCATGTCTCTAATGTGAATCAGCAACAGTCTGGCTACAGTCAGGCAAACAAAACAAAAGAAAACTGAAGACTGAGCCCTCTCATCATTTTGCTATGTGATTATGTTTAAGTAGCTCCAGGAGGACAATCAATTTAACTTAGAATATACTGAAGATTTACAGCTCTAGGAATTGCCACTCTGTGCTTATGCTTCTCTCTCCAATTGTATTTTTTTTAAATGAAAAATATGCATAGTAGTAAGGCCCCAGATTGCATGAGTACAGGTATAGATCTGTGCCTGGCTAATTGTCATGGTCATGGTTATTCACCCAGTCCTGGTGATTTTCTAATGCCTTGAACATAGTTTTGGCTGCTCCGACTCCTCTTCTTTAGGAAAGGTCTACACTTCCAAAAGCAAGATAGGAAAGGGGAAAGTACTCTGAACTGGGACTGGGGGTGATCACCTGACCTCACTGGTCCGTGATTTTTCTCATCCACCCCCCATCCCCCCCACTACACACCTCCTGGCTTTCTGTTGACTGGAGTTCAGTGGTGTACCCACAATAGACTTGATGACCCTTTAAAAATGGGGTTGTCTCTGGTTTTCATTCATTTATGCTGTCTGGCTCTTTCTGCAGGGATTTTGATTTGCAGCCTCTGGCCCAGAATCTCCCCTCTAGGCCTTCACCCTATGGGTTTGCCTGGAATATTCTTTCTCTCTGTTTACTTGGTTGACTTTACAAAGATTTTTTTGTTTGACCAAACTTTAGTTAGCTTCTTGAAACTTCTCCTAGGCCCATCTGTGCACTTTCTTGTAAAATCCAGCTTTAGCAAAGAACGCTGCTAAGTCAGTTTAGTGAGAATCCTCCATCTTCAATATCGGATCCCCTTGCTATCTTATTGGGTTCTTCAACCTCCATCATCTCCCGGGTGACATCTGATTGCCCTGGTCTTTCTTCAGCAAGAATCCTATTAGGTCAGTTTAGCCAGAACATACCTCACGCCTGATGTTTTCTCTTAGTAATTTTCTGTCCACTAAGCCCCACCCTGCTTCTTGGTCATAAATTACCATTTGTCCATGCTGTATTTGAAGTTGAATCCAATCTCTCTTCGCCACTGCAAAATCCCATTGCCACGGTCCCTATATCTATTGCCAGGGTCCTGATAAAGTCTGCCCTACTATGCTTTAACAAATATCATTGAATGTTTTTTTCTATAGCACTCTAAATAAGGTCCTTCAGGTCTTAGCTTTTGTCTTTCTTCCTCTGCATTCTCTTAGCATCTTGCATCTTCCCATCATAGCTCATACTGAGCTGCCTAATTATTTATGGGTTTCCTCCCTGGGCTGCAAGCTTTATGAGAGCAGAGATTACATCTGTTTTGTTCATTATTATACTTGGACTACCTAGCACAGCACTTGGAATCTACCAGGTGCTCAACAATGTTTTGCATTAATTAATGAACTAATAAATCAGTTAGTTAATGTGAGCCTTGAACTTTACTCTGAATTTCAGGAGATCATCGAAAAAAAATTCTCCCAATATTTCTCTGCAAAATTTTAAGGATATTGAAATGTTGAAAGAATAATACAATGAGCAGCCCCGTAGCCTCCACTTAGATTCAACAATCATATTTTTTGCTATGTGCTTTAATCTCTTTCTGTATAGAAATGGATGACTTTTGCTGAACTATTAGAAAGTAAGCTGCAGATTTCATGATACTTCTAAGGATTTCTGCACTTACCTTTGAAAACAGAATAAAAAATATCTTTCTACTGTGTAACACAATACCATGATCATATGCAAGAAATTAATAATTCCATAATGCCATTTAATATCCATTCATAGTCAAATTTCACCAAAGTTCCCCACAAATTATCTTTTTGAATAAATTGAAGTGAAATTCGCAAGTTTACATAACATAAAATTAATTATTTTAAAGTGTACACGTCAGGGCATTTAGAACATTCATTATATGGTGCAACCATCACTTTTATTGAGTTCTAAATCATTTTCATTACTCCCAAAATGAGATACACCCATTAAGCAGTCACTCCCTATTTTCTTCTTCCCCTAGTGCCTAGCATCTACAAAATTACTTTTTGTCTCCATAGATTTACTTATTCTGGATATTTTACATATAATGGAATCATACAATATGTGAACCTTCATGTACACCCAAATTATTGTATGGCCATTTTTTAAGAAGCAATCTTGAATAAGAATACAATTTTAAAACTACGCAGTATTCTTCCCTTCAATGACTATTTTGAAAGAAAAATATTTCATTTTGACCTCGAGCCTCAGGACTCCCTTGTCTCCTACTCATTACAACAACAACAACAAAAAACCATCCATGTGAGCCGAGTCACACACAGTCTAAACTGCAGGAAAAGATGACAAGGATTTTGCTCCCAACCTTTTGTGGTTCTTAAGGATGTTAGGAAGGGCTGCCAAGCTGAACCCAGGCTATGAATTAGCCTCCATAGTTATCCTAAAGATGCTGGGCAATGGGAGGTAGAGGTGGAGACACTCCCTAGCTGTGGTTGTAGGCACAGCTATTGTCAGGCTAGGCCAGACTGATATGAGTGGTAGTGATAGATTTGCTTAAAAGGAAGCATTTCTCTTCAGGACTAACTCTACAAAACCACTCTGAATCGGACATCTTCTTTGCTTCAGTTGCCAAAGATGTATTCTGCTATATTCCTTGCTCTACAGAAGAAAGCACATCTGAGAGGACAGTAGCACCTTCCCCTCTTAACTGGCCTTTCTGTCCACCTTCTGGTGCTTTCTCGGGGGAACTTCCTGTGCATAATAGTAATTTTAGCAGACTGTTTTGACTGAACATCAGTCTGAGACTCACCTGTACTGTTTTTTAGTGGGGATAACAGCATCAAAGAGTGTCGGGGTCTACAGGTTTGGAGGAACTGCTTGGCTTAGCATTTAAAATGACACTTGGCAACTCTCTATGGTTTCAAATTGGTAATAAGTGCTTTGTAGGTCCAGTGGTTATAGCAGGAAAGGCAAATATCTGCCACCATGCCCCACTTCCTCGTTCCTTTGCCTATGACAGACGTCACTGTCTCATCGCAGAATTCTTTTCCGTTGATCTTAAACACCAGTCAGGGATACTCCTCCACAGTGAATTCCAGGGAACCATAGTCATCCAGCTGGACTTCGCATTCAAGGGGAAACCTTTTTCTTCTCATCTCTGTGGTATAAGCCTTCCCAGTTCTCAGTCTGTCAGAATAAACATATACTTTGAGCATCAGAAATTAAAGGATCTCTCAATGGGGGGCCAAGAGTATGTTTATTGGTTGATCTCCCATCTCCAGCAAGTCTTTAAAATGCTAATCCTACAGCTTGCTGGGTAATGGCTCCAAATTTATAGTAAAAATAATTATGTGAGGAGGTAGTGCGATACGTAATTAATATTCAAAAGTAGACTTGTGTAAATTTACATGCCAAGATGCTTTCCTCCCTAGAGATCTGACACTGAAAGTGATGTAGTGTATCATTTCTAAGACAAAATTTATTATAGGATCTTATTTTTTGAGGTCTCACTGAGTGACTGTGTGGTGTTACACACCCTGCTAAGCGTGGAGATCAGGGAAGGGATGGGTGAAAGACTGGAGTGCAAAGTGCAAGGGAAGTTTGTATGGCTCTTTTAGAAAAGAACCAGCTAAGGCCATATTATTCTGGCTCTTGGTACTTGTGCCCCAGCCACTAAAGTTTATGGTAGCCTGTTTCCTGATAACCGGTATTTTCATGGGAGCAAGAGCAAGAGTCTGTGACCTGAAGTGAAATAAAAATGAAGTTTTTAGTCTTCCCAAGAGTCCTTTTTATTGTTGCAAAGTTGTGCCTTGGTTTCAGTTTCTGTGTATTTGATGAGTATTTCATGAAGAAAAAATACACATTTTAATCTGATGGAACCACAGAGCAAAAATGAATTCTTTGCCTAAAACATTCCCTAATTTTGATAGCTTTTCCCCCATCTACTTTGGATTTGTGCTATTTTGCATTGTGTGAGTTATTTTTATAGGCCACCTTAAAAGTATCCTGAGACAAACTAGGGTATAAATAGTCAATAGTAGTAGAAATAATAATATGCTGCCATTTATTGAATGCTCACTTTGTTTTAGTTCTGTTCTGCATATTCAAATGTTTTATTTTAATCTGCCTACAGTTCCGTGAGGAAGTTATTTTTATTCCCATTTTATATAGAGAGGAAATGGAATCTCGGAGTAGTTATATACCTGGTAAACGCCTGACTGGGGATTTGAACCCAGATCCTCTTAACTCGGAAGCCTGGGTCCTTAACTACTTCACTGACTTCTCCATGAATAACTGTGGACGTTTGCCATTGAGTTTTTGTTTAAGTGCTGCCTGGATCTGTAGATACAGTTTCCTTGTTTTGCTGAATCTTCCATTAGGAGACAAGTCCCATTAGTTTCATCAGGATTGCTGTTTTAAGATGTGCTCTTGTTTAAAACATTTTACTCTATTACTCCTGGGTATTATTATGTTAAAATAAATTAGGAAAGTAATTCATTTGACTCTGCTATTTGCTAAAGAAAATTTACATATAAGTTTGCTTAATATAAAAAAACACCAAACCTTGATATGACCAGTGCCAAGAAGAGTAACAAAATAACTCTTCATGGTATATTTACCTTTTCATACCATCCATTAGCCACTTTGTTTTATATGGCCAGCAGATGTTGGAACTTACAGCACCTACGAAGACAAGTTGATTCTTTATGGCTGCAGCCTGATCCCATCTCCATGGGATTTTATGTCCCCCTGCTGCCTTACTGGAGCCCCCACGCAATCTGTGCTCTTAGTTCATTAGTGCAGTCAGAGTCTGTGGTGGGTCTTAGATTCTCCATTCAAGAGGATCTGCTGGGCCTGCTTTGATAGTGCAGCCAAGCAACTGCTGGTTGCAATGTAAAAAATGCCAGAGGCTTCTTTTCTGTTTAGAAACATCATCTGAAAGCCCAATAGCAGAAGACAAGCACAGGTTTTCTTGCCATAAAACCTTAAAAACAAGTTTGGGAAGGAAGGCTTAGACAACAAATGTGCCCTATTTCTGTCTGCCCTCACTAAAATGAATGCACCTGCCTTTGGAAAAACTGCCTCCTCACTTTTTCCTCATTGAAGAAGCTATTGAGACAGGTTTAAAATACCTTCCGCAAGACATGCCAACCTATTCAATTATCCTCTATTCGAAGTCACATTGGAGAAACAATTAAGGCCATCTCTATCCACGAAAATGTGAAAACCCATGGCAATATCTGAGTTGTAAGTGACTTTTCCCTACTTTGGATACCCTAGGTGATTATTTTAATTTTCCACTTCACTTTTCATATTTAAATGACTATTCCCAACTAAAACTGGTAATATCATCTCAATTTGTTACTTTCCTTTTCCACTTAAAGAAAGCTTTACATAAAATGAAGCAATTTTAGGTGATATGTAGGTGCAAGATTACAGTGAATAAAAAGACAATTTCAAGAATCATGTAAACATTTGAGAGAGAAAATATGTACAAATATCATGCAATCATAAGATATGCATATAAAATGATTACTAGAGAACATTTTGATTTGTTATTTCACAATCACATTTCTCATATATTATAAAGTGTTTTGCAGGATACTACTTTAATTCCTGCTTTCCTACCATGTGTATTTGGTGCTTTTTGTGGCTATGGAGAGTATAAAGCAGGACAAGGAAGAATTGGATAAAAGTGATTGAAGTTGCTGACTCGACTCTCTCTTCCTCCCCACCTCTTAATTTTACTTTCTGGGGCACAAAGGAGAGAATCATATTTGAGCTCTAGGGAAATTCTATTCTAGTTTTGTAGCTTTCCAGGTAGCGTGGGACAGCAGTGTCAGGAGAAATTTAAATAGAGAGATCTCTTATCCATATTTAATTTTTTCAATATTGGGCTTCTCGTATGTTCAAATGAGTTATTATTACAAATTTACTCAACATCTGCCTGGCATCCATTCGCTGTGCTGAAACAAAGAGACTTCCACTTGAGCAAAGGCTACCAGTTAAGTGCTCTGCTGCTAAGGTTTGTTTGTGTTTTTAAATAGTGATGACTTCTTTCTTTATCTGCCTCTGTCTTTTAGATCTAAGAACTGGCCATATTTATTTAGCATATATGACTCGCTATGTCTTTCCTGTTCACTGCTCAGAAAAATACAGAATGATGGGGAAGAGTCACATCATAAAATAACATGAAAGCTTCTAAAAGGAGTGGGGGGTGGGCGGGGAAGAGAGTGAAATATGCTTATGTTGTCCAGTGGTACGAAGATACGAAGATTTCTTTTGGGGTTGACTTGCTGCCCAGCCACTCAGACATCTCCTGAGCATGATTCTAGTTATAGTAGATCTTGCTGGGAATAGGCAGGATGGTCAAAACAAGAAAGTGTGAGCTCAGGTGGTGCGGAGTCACCTTTTTTCTGAACTTGTGTTTGTAGGAGTGAAAGCCCACAGGAATTGTTAGCTTTTCTCTAAGACAACAATATGACCACCGAAACTTTCACTTGCAATGGGATACATAAATTATGAGCATATAGATTGTTATATTTTTTGTTGGGTAGGGAAGATCTAGGCAGTGATTAATTATATACTACAACAGTTTCTCCAACAAATAAAGCAGAAGTGATTGCTTTGTTGAAACTTGTTAATGTTGAAGCTTTTGGGGGTCAAAATTGAGGATATTGGTTCATTGTTCTTGGAGTGACAAGTTCTGGTTCCTAGGCCCTGCTTTGCCACCAATAAGTAAGTCTGTAAAATTGTTTAACTTTTTTTTTTTATTATAAAGTAATCCCTCGTGCTTTATTTATTAGAGAAGCCATAGCATGTAGTAACGAAAACAAAACAAAAGTAAACAAAAACAACCCTGAAACAAAATCCTAATTCCTTGCACACACAGCAAGTTGGAAAGTGGATACAATGGCCTTGGACGATTTAAAAAATATAAGATTTAAATGGTCAATACACTTCAAGAAAATAAAATCAAATTCCAGTAATCAAATAAATGCAAATCAGCAAGCTACCATTTTCTTTGCTTATTAATTAGAAAAAGAGTTTTAAAAATATAATGACTATTGCTGATGTGAGTGTGTCAGAAGTTAGTACTGATACAACTTGGGAGGGAGCTTTACTTGGGAGTTTACAGTGTTTTTCCATTAAACCAGCAATTTTACTTTTAATAATATATTCCAAAGAAATAGAAATGTGCATGTAGATTTATATCTCCTGAGCACAGTATTTCTAATAATAAAATATTGAAAATAACCTAGATTTCCTACAATAATTTATTCTGTATCCATAATCTGAAATACTATGTAGTTTTAAACAGTGATATGGTAAAATAATATTCAATGCCATGGAAAAGTTCAAGTATATTATTACGTGGAAACAAAAGCAGCTTACAAAACAATATCCACAGTAAGGTTCCAATTTTGTAAAAAGGCATAGTTAAATTATTTAGATATTAGTAAGGATTATCTTTGGAGTACATGGATTATGCATAATTTTTGCTTTATTTGTGCTTTCAGGAATTTTCCAAATTTTCTGCACAAGAATGTTATTTGCTGTGTAATTTGAATAAAAATAAATGAATGATAGGAGAAATGGTCTGGAAGTCTGGTAACCTGGTGGCAAATCATTTAAACTTTCTAGAGCTGAGACTGTAAAATGAGCCAATTGAATAGACTTAAGTTTAGCGCTGAGTCTGTGATATCCGATTTTTCAGCAGGAGTAACATCTTCAATTCAACTCTTTGTCATTTTGGCTAACAGATATTGAAGGAGAAGGTAAAAGGCATTATTCATTTTTAAGCATTTGGCATGTTTCCAAAACACTGAGTCAATTTAATGTAATTACTTTTTCATAATTATTATTTCAGAAGTGCTTCAACTTCAGTTTCTACTAATCTTTAGTCAGCTCTTTATATTTCCTGCCTATGAACTCGGGGTCCTGAAGGATAGTAAACAAACATTTAGGCACTTTGGATATCTGCTATTTAAAGAAAATCTGTGGAGAATACTTATTTGAAGTAAATTGTCCTCTGGTAATAAAAGTCGTAGCCACAAATATTTACTATGTTAGTTGATTTGCTTATTTCAAGGTTGCTTAAAATGGGATCTACTGGCATTCTGGAGTGATTAATTTTTTTTTTTACTGGCTCTCAGCCACATGCCACAGTGACTTCTTAGGGAGATTCAATGGCAATAGCAACATGGTGCCTGGAATGTGCGGTAAAACAAACAACTGTGCTGTGTCCCAAAGAACTGGTGCTATGATATAGCTCTGTTTTCACCTGTTGTGAGTAGCTTTGAGAAATTGATTACAATACTCCCCCTTCATCTGCAGGGGATGTGTTTCAAGAACCCCTGTGGATGCCTGCAACCATGGATAGTACGGAACCCTATATAGGCTATGTTTTTTTCCTATATAAACAAATGGTAAAGTGTCATTGATAAATTAGGCACCTAGTAAGAGATCAACACAATAACTATTAATAATAATGAGAACAATTATAACAATATGCTTTAATAAAAGTTATGTGAACATGGCCTCCCTCTGTCAACTGGAATTTTCCATTTAATATTTCAGAAGCAACTGATCCTGGGTAACTGAAAGCTCAGAAAGTGAAGCCACAGATCTGGGGCTACTGTACTAGAATTTTCTTTCCTTGAGGTTCAAGTATATTTTCATTTGACTTTCTAAATTGTTTACACCTCCAGAGCCACTGTTTGGTCTTATTTCAGTGATGACTATTATTCTGATGGGTGTTACAATAAGTAAAATCTATATCTCTGTCCCAATTTTGAACCACCAAAGGAATTGTCTTAAATAGTATTAACAGAAGATTAGAACTAACAAAATGATTGTTTTTAGTTAGATATTTTTTCACTTTTCCTTCTAGGCTGCCAGGGTTAAATTTATTTTATAGTCTGCTAAAAGTCAGATACATACATATAATTTTTATTAAATTTCAGTTAGCTACTTTATCTTCCATCCTCAGTGTCCCTGGATTATTGATTTTCTAGTTCAAGGCCTCAGGTAACATCCTCTGGCACATAACCCAGGAGTGTATTCTGACATTTCCACTGAAGCATGGAAGAGAACCTTTGAGAAACCTCCCAGGAGCCTGATGTGTGCGAGTTCCCAGCTGGGGCCAAGGCTGCAAGAGATAACTGCGGAATATTGATTGAGCCAGAATTTCTGCTCTGCATTGTCTCAGCGATCATCCTCATACCCTCAGTTACCCTTGACTGACTCAACAGGACAGGGTTAGGGAGGAGGAGAGGACCAAGTAGTGATCTATATAAAGATGTACTGTTTGGCAGCCCAATACTTGCAGGAGAGTACCATCACACCTGAGCAGCAGGGTTTTCCCGGGATCTAATAGAAAAAGACCTGGTAAGGTCATGGACATTGAGGCTCAGATATCAATTTAATCACCTCTTTTCTCCATTGCTAAAATGAACAATGTTATGTACCTTCTAGTATAAAAGTCTTCCCAATGGCTAGATCAAATTCTATTTCATTTAAAAAATTAAAATTTTCTATTTTAAAACATAACTTTGTTACATTCACAGATTTTTTTTTTTTTTTTTTTTTGCTTGGCCATATGACTTTTTTTTTTTTTTTAATGCTTCAAGTTCTGGGATACATGTGCAGAACGTGCAGGTTTCTTACATAGGTATACAGGTGCCATGGTGGTTTGCTGCACCCATCAACCTGTCATCTACATTAGATATTTCTCCTAATGCTATCCCTCCCCTAGTCCCCCACTCCCCGATAGGCCTGATGTGTGATGTTCCCCTCCCTGTGTCCATGTGTTCTCATTGTTCAACTCCCACTTATGAGTGAGAACATGTGGTGTTTGGTTTTCTGTCCTTGTGATATTTTGCTGAGAATGATGGTTTCTAGTTTCATCCATGTCCCTGCAAAGGACGTGAACTCATTCTTTTTTATGGCTGCATAGTATTCTATGGTGTATATGTGCCACATTTTCTTTATCCAGTCTATCATTGATGGATATTTGGGTTGGTTCCAAGTCTTTGTTATTGTGACATTCACAGATTTTTTTAAATCCTGGAATAGCATATTGTTTATATCAGCTGTTATGAGAATGATACTTTTGCTGGGCATGGTGGCTCACGCCTGTAATCCCAGCACTTTGGGAGGCTGAGGTGGGTGGATTACTTGAATATTTAAGACAATATGACTATAATCCCAGCACTTTGGGAGGCTGAGGCGGGTGGATCACGTGAAGTCAGTAGCTCGAGACCAATCTGGCTAATGCGGTGAAACCCCGTCTTTACTAAAAGTACAAAAATTAGCCAGGCTTGGTGGCAGGCACGTGTAGTCCCAGCTACTCGGGAGGCTAAGGCATGAGAATTGCTTGGAACCGAGAGGTGAAAGTTGCAGTGGGCCGAGATTGCGCCACTGCATTCCAGCCTGGGTGACAGAGACTCCGTCACACACACACACACACACACACACACAGAAACACTCTTACACAATGTCTCCGTGCTGTGTGGAATATTAGAACAAATAAAAAGGTAACTGTAAGAGGCACTGAGGCTTCTATTACCTTTGAAATGTTAGTGATGTTTCATTCTTTTATGTACTTATTGTTTATAATTTATCTGCCTCAAAAAAGTATTCAAATAGGTTGACAAGAAATGGCAAGATGTCCACTAAAACAAGAAAAATGTATGCACAGTTCTCTAAGAAATGAAATGAAAGAAATTTATACTATTAGTTGACCAGTAATTGTGCGCCATGGTGTTCGCTGCGGCATTATTTATGGCAGAAAAAAAAAAGGGAAAGAAAATCTCCAAATACAAGGGATAGATTAAGTCAGAGCTTTTCAGTGCTGGCACTATTGACGTTTTAGACAGGGGTCGTTCTTTTTTATAGGGGGGGTCTGTGTATTGTAGGATCCTTAGCAGCGTCCCTGCTCTCTGCCCACAAGATGCCAGATGCCAGATGCCAGCAGCATTGCCTCCATCGTGACAACCAAAAAACTTCTCCAGACATTGCCAAATGTCCCCTGGAGAACAAACTCACCCCCACTGAGAAACAGTGGGTTAAATAAATAAGAATTATATTAGCTTTTTAGTGTTGCCATAACAAATTATCCCAAATAAGTGGTTTAAAAGAATCAAAATTTCTTCTCTTACAGTTCTGAAGGCTAGAAGTCTGAAACCCAAGCATTGGCTGGTTTGTTTCCTTCCAGGGGTTCTCTGTTCCATGTCTCTCTCCTTGCTTCTGGTGGTTGCTGGCAATCCTTGGTGTTCCTTACATTGTAGATGCATCCCTCCAGTCTCTACTTGTTTCTTCACATGGCCCTCTCTCCTCTGTGTCTGTGCCTAAATTTCTCTCTTTTTATAAGGACATCAGTCATTGGATAAGGGATCATTAGAATCCAGTGTGACCTCGTCCTAATTTAACTGCATCTGCAAAGACCCTATTTCCAGATAAGGTCACGTTTACAGATACTAGGATTTAGGACCTGGACATATCTGTTTAAGGGACACAATTGAACCCACAGCAATAATGTTTTTGACACTGCAGAAGTATCATTCAATTTTTGTTACAGTTATTATTTAGAACTAGTGGCATCACGTGGAGATAGAGAATTTATCAATTGCCCTTGGAAAAAAACTGTGAAGTCTCCATGAACTTGAAGGCAAACGCTTCAGACTGAGATGTAAAATATTTTACCTGTGTAAATTGCTGAAGAATGGCAGGGGGAGGTTAGTAGGTAGACAGTGAACGAATCAACAGAACTACTTTCTACTTTAATATAAATTTCATCTGGTTGGTACTTCAATACTCTTGCAGTCCTTGAGAGATGGGTGTGTGTTTTGTCTAAATATTTTGTTTCAGGAGCTGGTGTGCAGAACAAACCAGGGAGAACTTATAGGTTCACTTCTTGCTGAAAAAAAAAATGTGAAACATTTGGCCTGGTGTTGGCACAGTGATACTTAACATACATAATCCTGACTTTAAGAAAGACATGGCCAACTCTTATAGTCACTTTGTTTGGACCATGGAGGTCAGGTTACACCCTCTGAATGAGGATGATAATTTTCTCTGGAAAAAAAAGGGAGTTTCCACTTTCAATTATTCTGTGGAAGAGACTAGGGTGTCTTAGAATGAGGGAGAGAAAACATAACTCTTCCTCTGAAGCCAAATGAGGAGGTGGGGTCAAGACTTTGGGGATGGAGGTGTCTAGAAATTTCTACTGGTGGCTCCTCCCGTGTGGAGTAGCCTAGAGAAACTCTTCTGGTAGTAAATCATTCTGTATTGTACCCACGTTAGCCATAAGCTTTCATTAAAATTCTGTGTAATGTCACAGCCTAGTTTTAGCTGGACTTCAGGGATGTAAGGGAGGGGCCTGTGTTCATGTTAGGACAAAGGAATAGAGGAGCATGTCTTCTCTACCCAGCGTTGATTCCTCTCCTGTTAGCCTGTGTAGCCATGGCTGTGTTACTTCAAGGAGATGTGGAGCCCAGATGTTTTTGAGCGATGATTTGTGTCAGAACAGAGAGCAATGGTTAGGAGCCAGCTAACATGGTGAGCATAGGCTATGCTGACAAATGACACACAGGACATGTTTTTAGGAACGCGTACGCATCCTTGGGAGTCCCCAGCTAGTTATTAGGTAAGGAAATCTGAATATCCTGCGCAGCAGTTTGGGGAATTAGACGATTGTTATGTCAGCATTAAAAGAAGAGTGACCTCTGAGAGCTGGAGGAGAACCTGGAAGCACAGAAATTATATAAATTATGATCTGTCCATATGGTGGAATAGCATAAAATTGTTTAAATCCTATTACTAAAAATAGTAATTAACATACAGATCTGTTTTTTGATACAATGTGAAGTTAAGGAAGACCATAAACTGTATAGACAATCTGATTTCAATTTTTTTTTACTAAGGTATTATAAGAAAGAGCTATACCAAATGTCAAGATGTTAAAATCCTGATTATTAAGAATGGGGGATTTAGAGATGTTTTCTGCCCCCCGCCTTCTTTTAAGTTTTCTGTGGTTTCCAGCATTCTCAGTGAACACACATGAATTTAAGCATTATGCATTGGAGAAAACAACATTTAGTTCTGCTGGCCAAGGCAGAGGGGGAAACACAGTGAGTAACAGCATTTCTATCAGTAGTCAAAGAAAGCCAGGTTTCTAATAGTAATTAAACAACAGTCCTGATGGGGCAGGCATTCTCTCACCTATCAGACCATGAAACCTTGTATCTCTGGGCCCAAGAGGTTCTTGTTTGAGCCACATCCTGACCCTGATGTGAGCACCCCTGGGTTTCCTTTAATCTTGACTCCCACCTCATTCTTCCCTTCAGGGAAAGTTAGCTGCTTTGGTAGGCAAAGTAGCCACCCAGAAGCTGTAATGGCAGGCCTTACTACCAGCGAAATCCCACATGACAAATTCGTCCTTTGTGCTGATACAATTGACTTGTCACCTCATTTTTACAGCTAATTAGCTCTTTAGTAAGCAGTGGCTAGTGTCAGAGGTCATCTGATACCTGATTCCGGTAAATTGACCGTAAATATTACTGTCCATCTGTATTTGCTGTTCAAAATGCTGCTTAGTGACCACATTTTAAACTCTTTTTGTAAGAGACCCCTGCTTATTTTTGTTGGCAAGATCAAGTTTCCAAATAATGCTCACAAAATTCATCATCTCCTGAAGTTATCTGGGATTGCTGCTCAATTAGCCTGTTCACTGGGTCATGCCACCCACAGGGTGGGGAACGCACCAAGACAGTTTCCAGCATTTCCCAGAGTTTCTTTTGTTTCCTCCTCTAAATCAGAAAGTCACTGAAGAAACTCTTGTTCTGATTCTGTCCATCACTATTATAACTTCTAGGAACATTTTATTGCCTTATAACAATAGCACTGGTAATACTAAGAGCAGCCGGTGATTATCAAAGGATCACTATATGTCAGGCACTATGCGAAAAGGTTCATATGTGTTAAATCTTTTATTTCTCACAACAACCCTATGTGGAGATCATTTTAATCTTTAAACGAGGGATGAAGAAACAGAGGCTTGGAGAGGGTAAACTTTTTGCCCAGTGTCACACAGACAAATAGAAGACCGATGCTTTGCTCAGATCTGCATGACTCCTAAGTCAGATCTGGTAACCCCTAAGCAGTACAGACATGTGAATCTAGTTATTAGCATAAATAACTAGTTAAAATACTAATTATGAAAATATTCATGGGGTGAAGTTTATGCTCAGATGTGTGAATCTAGTTATTAACATAACTAGTTAAAATACTAATTATGAAAATATTCAAGGAGTGAAGTTTATGCATAACTAGTCATTAGTACAGAGCATTTAGACACCAGTAATATCCAGGAAATATGAAACAGCAACACAAAAACAAATGAGAGATGGACCTATGGTTTTGGTTTCAAAGGGAGTCATAGGTGATCTGGAATGAGACTGGCAATCACAGTTGAGCTGAGACAAGTTTAGGAAGCAGCGTTTTTTCTCACTGGTTCTACCTGGAAACCCAGAGGCAGCATTCTTTGAGCTGTTAAAGTGTGTCCAGGAACAAGGCAAAAGGCAGTATGGTGTCAGATCAGGAACAGATGAAAAGCATGAGCCTTTTACATCAGTGAGAATGAATGAAGGATTAATCCTGCCTGGGTTCCTAAAATGCTAGTGAACACTGAGCCAAGACTCACTTGTTTCTAAACGCAAAATTTGTTTTCAGTGAATTTAGACTTCTCCACTCCCCTCCCTACCTACTGTCCCACCTCCTTCCTGAGACAGCGTGGGCAATAAGGAAGCCTTCCTGGAAGGCATTTTAAAAGCATTAGGTCATCGATCACTAATGGGATGTTCAGAACTCAGTGACAAGTAGACAGAATCTAGGACCCTAGGCTAGCCCAGTTTGTTCAGAGATGGTAAAATAAATAGAAAAAAAATGATATTAATATATTTGCTCAGCCTATCAAAAAGGATAGGCTGAACAGATATATTAATAGCATTTATAATAATAAATATAAAATGAACAAGTTTTTACTTTCTCTTTAGAGCAGACCAGAACCAAATGTACCTGACTGCTATGCAGATTCAGACTGTAGACTTAAAAATATGAGAGGTTAGGTATGCAAATGTGGAACTACAGCATAATCAATCAGCCACCCCCTAAGTGTATTGAATAGTCCTGTGTAATGTAGTCAGCACTGTGTGTAATGCCAAATGATGACGCAGTCTCTGACCTTATCTAGAAAGGCAAAGTAGGTGCAGAGGAGACAAATGAGAGGACCAAACACTTTATCATAAAGTTCTAGTTGAAGAAGAGAGACTATATAGGCAAGGGAATTTTAGAAGTCAGCTTGGATTAAGAGGAAAGATAATTTGGTTGGAAATCAAGAGACTTTTGTGCTCTATTTCTGGTTTTGACAATAAGTAGCTGAGTGAGCCTGAACAGTGAAATTTATCTCTCTGGATCTTTCTCAGTTTCCCATCTATAAAATGAAGGAGTCAGAGATGGTGATCTTTAAGGTCTTTCCAGAGCTAACATTCTAATATGAAGGGGAAAATCTCTGTGGGCCTAAATCATTGGAGGAGTAGTCTCAGAAACAAGGGGTTAGAAATGACCAGGCATCATGAACATGGGGAGTGTGTGTGTGTGTGCATGCACAGTTGGAGGTATGGGGAGGCAGGAGAGGGATTGTTTTTGAGCTCTGCATGATAGAGTACAGCTCTGTACTCATCTCAGATATGATGACAAAGTCCAGTCACTGTAAACTTCAGCTCCTTGATGTGGAACAACTGCACAGTTAATCAAGCCAAAAAATAAGGAGTCATTTTTGATTCCTCTTGTTCCAATATATAACCAAATCCAAGTCTATCAAGAATATAGACTCAGATCACTTGACTTCAGGCACCCAATAAATGTTTATTGGATGAAGGAAAGAATGCTTAAGTAATAAACAGGAATGGAGCCTGGCGATACATCACAGTGGTATCAGGCACCACGGATCAACTATCAGGCAAACCTGAATTCAAATTCCAAGTCTGCCACTTTCTTGGCAACCACGTGATCTTGGGCAAGTTGTGTAACCTCTGTAAACCTCAGGTGCAAAATGAGGGGGAATATGGTGTCAACATCACTAGATTGTGAGGTACATTGCATGAAAAATTATCATTAAACCTCCAAGCTCAGTGTTGCATGAAATTAACTTCTTGTTTCTTTTAACTCTTTGCCTATGGCCTCCATTTCTTTAGGACCTGAAAATCTAGCTTTGGTTTGAACAAGACAGGAAAATTGTGTATAATACATAAAGGGATTTCCCTCCCTCCCTTCCTTTCTCTATCCCTTCTTCCTTTCTCTTCCTTCCCCTTTCTCCTCTCATTCTTTCTTATCCCCCCTCTCTGTCCTCCCTCTCTTGTCCTTCCACCTTTCCATATCTGTTACTTATTTATATATGAATATATTTATATAGGTTTGCATGTATTTACACCCAAGTGCTAATATTATATATTAGATAAATGCAAATGTGATATAACTCCTTTTATTGTTATTACAATATCTTTGTGAAAAAAATCATATAGTTAAAATAATATATTGACTATGTTAAATCTGCCCTTCAGATGGATGAAATAATTTTGTAATATGTAAGTAATAACCATTTGTATAGTAGTTTGGTTTGTAAATGGAATCCAGTACTTAATTTGGTTTTATTTGGTTTGATGTAACTCTCACATTACACACAGAAAAATAAAAGGTTCTGGGTAGTGGGTTGAACTGTGTCCCACAAAAAAGATATGTCCAAGTCCTATGCTCTGGTACCTGTGAATGTGAACTTATCTGGAAATAGGGTCTTCACAGATGTAATTAAGATCTGGAGAAGAGATCCTTCTGGACATACAATGGATCCTAAATCAAATGACTAATATCCTTATTAAAGAAAGAAGAGGAAAATTTGGGACATAGAGACACATAGAGAAGAAGGCCCTGTGAAGACAGAGGCAGGGATTGGAGTGATACATTTACCAACCGAGGGATGCCAAGGACTGCCTGCAGCCGCCAGAAGCCAGGAGAGAGGCATGGACTAGATCCTACCTCAGAGCCTCCAGAGGGAACCAACCCTGCTGACACCTTGATTTCACACTTATGGCTACCAGTGTCGTAGAGAACAAATTTCTATTGGAAGCCACCGAGTCTGTAGTAATTGGTTACAGCAGTCCTCAGAAATTAATACATTCAGTGCATTCACAAAAGTGCAACACGAGAGAACAGAGACTATCCATGAAGCCAGTTATAAGACTCATGGGTTTACAAAGATTCTTCCAGGTTGAAGCTGATCTTATTCTGATCTTAACAAGTTATGACAAATAAAATCTGCCTTGAAAATGTATTTTGAATTATTTGCACTTCTGGCTTTACAGCTGCCACCCTGGTCCATTCAATTCTCTTTTACTAGAACTCTGAAATAGTCTTCTAACTGGCACCTCCAGTTTCCAAAACTGCCTCCCACCAGTCCATTCTTCACACAGAAGCAATAATGAATTAATTGTTTTGAACCTTCAGTGGATTATTTTATTCTAAGTGCAGTGAGAATTATTGCATTTAGAATAAAATAGCCTCATGCCTTCAATGGCTTCTCACTAAAATTTGCAGTAAAATACCCATTCCTTACCGTGACTTCCAAGGCTCTTCATGAACTGGTGGGTGCCTTCTCTCCAAACCATCTGCAGCATCCTACTCTTGCTCACTTTGCTTTAGTCTTTCTCAAAAGATTATATACCAAAAGGGAGAAGGAGCTATATCTGTCTTGTTCGTCTTTGTATTCTCAGTGCCCAGTGAAGTACCTGACACTTAGTAGATACTCACAAGACATTTGCTGATTTGATAGATGAATAAACAGATTGCTTAAGAAGGTCTCCACTTCTTTGTGGATCTTCTTTTGATAAGGCCCTAGGGTTTTTTAGATAGGGGTGCATTTGTTTCAGATAATATTTTTTTGCTAGGATACATGTATTGTCTACAGATTGTCATTGCAGTGGATTTTGTACTTGAATAACTAGCCTAGGAATTGAGCCAATGGAATGGTAATGATAATATTGCTCATTAAAGAGGGAATTGATAAATCTTCCCATTTCTTCAAAAGCTGTGCCTTTTAATTTCTCATCAGTCTTGTCCTTGTTTTATGAATTTTCCAGGCCTCACCCAAATTCTCCTTTTATGCTTTGCTGGTTGCCCCTGGGGGCTGAGCCTCATGGGAGATCCACCCCAGCTCCCTTGTCAGCTAGTTTCTGTTCTCCTTGGCCAATGGGAGGTGCTGGTAGGACACTGGACATCTGGAGGAGAGAGAGAGAGGTCACGGTTTTTCTTCCCTTCTACCTCCACACTGTGGACACATTTTCTGGCAGTGGCCACGTTCCTCCAGAACTACAGCTCCTGTCATTTTGCTCCTTCTCCATGTTTCCAGAGCTCACTGGGAACACTATTTCTTCTCTTTGCCCTTTCAGGAACAAACAATAGGCAGTAACAACTTCCTGCTGTTGCTGGTGTCTAAGGGAACCAAGAATCATTCATTGTTGGTTCCCTTAACTCGGCCAAACCTTTGTAAATGGTTCATTCATGAAAATCTCCATCTGTGTTGGACTCTGTTTTCCACTGAAATTTTTACTTTAGCACCATACCAACTAATACGGCAGAAGGATAAGGGTCTAGAGTTCGACAATATCTAATCTTTTTGGTTCACGACCAGTGTGTAGCTCTAATTTTTTTCTAACTGATGAAACTTCATTTTCACCTCCTTTTTACCTTCAGGCTAAGGTAAGAGAAGGTGCTCTTTGTCTGCCACTCAGGCCAATATCAAGTCTAATTAATTGAATAGACCTAACTTCCTTGTTCTAAACAGAGCCCAGAATCAGCTTCACAAGTTACCTTCATGTACTGTGGCAGAAAATGTTAATGCTTACTCAGCCTCCATGTGTTCCAGTTAGGTTGGGGCCTTTTGACCATCTTCTGGCCCAGGTGAGGTTAAAGTCATTGATGCCAATCTCAGGGATGGCCTCTTAAAACATCTCCTGTTGTCCTACCACTTATGCTTCCTTGGCCATAGTGACCTTGGAAGCCAAGTGTACAGATGGTCCAGTTATTATACAAGCCTCAGAAGGGGCTGCTTAACATGCTTCTGATTTTGCACAACTAGAAAACACACCTTTACTGTGTTAGTCACTGAGATTTGGGGTCATAATTGTAACTTCAGCCCTGCCTAGCCTAGCCTGATTAATATATGTACCAAATAGACTTACTTATTCCTGATATTATAAAACATTTTTGGTCTAAATCCTCACTTAAAAAAATCACTCAACCTATTACCCCACTCTGTGACACCAGGGCCATAATAGAAATCATTAGTCAACAAGGACACTCTTTCTAGTTGCCTTAGTCTGTTAGGGCTGCTGTAACAAAATACCATACTCTGAGTAGCTCATAAACAACAGAAATTCATTTCTCATAGTTCTAGAGGGTGGGAAGTCCAAGATCAAGGTGCTGGCAGATTCTGTGTCCTGTGAGGACTCTCTTTGTGGTTCCTAGTGTTTTCTTGTTTTGTCCTCACATGGTAGAAGGGGCAAGGCAGCTCTTCGGGGTCTTTTTTAGAAGGACACTAATCCTATCCCAGGCCCCAGCTCCTAATACTCTCACATTGGTGATTAGGTTTCAATTATGCATTTTGGGGAGACACAACATTCACACCATCACACCAGGTGAGCTCAGAACAGTTTCTGAATCATTCTCCACACAGGCCCCCAAGCACCCGCTGCCAACAGGTAGATGAAACCTAGTTCTAGTTCGTGTTCTTTGTGGTGAGGTTTAGTTGTTGCTCCATTACAACCACCTGCTCTATTGTAATTTTGCATTATTTTGTTATTCGTTTTCATAACGTAAAATAAGTGATCTTTTCAATATCAGTTGATTTCTATTTTCAATTCAAGAGTTGTTGGTAAATTTTTATGTTATCTTTTTAATATTCACAAATTGTTCCTTCACTCTAGAATCAAATGGCATACCACAGAGAGATGACCTTTACAAAGGTTGGTAATAACCTACTTAACAATATATACCTTAGAAATACATTTGTGTTTTAGCTCAGATTCCAGTCCCTGATATAAATCTGCATATGGACAGTGTTTTGTTTCTTCACTTATGGAATTCTATGGTCCTAATAGAAAAATGACTCAAAATTAAAATCTGTGACTTTTGGTTCACAAAAATCTCTTGACATCACCTAGAGCTGCTGAATGCAAGACAGAAGGAAGTGAGTAAAAACTCAGAAAGGACCGCAAAATACAAATGCTCCTTAAGTTGAAGTTTTTTTCCTTGAACTCAATAAAGGACTAGGAGGGGATTCTTGTTATTTAACTATGTCAAGAACTATTTTACGCCAACCTGTCCCTAGAATATGTTTTCGAAAATGGATCCACTTTTATAACAGAAACCTTAAAGGATTCTCCTATTATCTGTTATTCCTCATTTCCTTTTTTTGTATTAAGGCAAGGGAGAAATTGGCTGAGATTAGGGTTATCATGATCAACAGAATCTTTATAGCAGATACTGACATATTAATAATTTAATGAGGTACAACTTGCTTGTATTATAAACAGAAGCCATTATTATCTTCTTTTTTTTTTTTTGGAGACAGGGTCGCACTTTGTTTCCCAGGTTGGAGTGCAGTGGCGTGATCTCGCCTCACTGCAACCTCTGCCTCCTGGGTTCAAGATATTCTCCTGCCTCAGTCTCCTGACTACAGGTGTGCACCACCACCCCTGGCTAGTTTTTGTATTTTTTGGTAGAGACAGGGTTTCACCATGTTGGCCAGGCTGGTCTCGAACTCCAGACCTCAAGTGATCCATACGCCTCGGCCTCCCAAAGTGCTGGGATTACAGGCGTATTGTCTTAAATATTCAAGGTTTCCTTGGAATTTTCGAGTCTGTCTATTAAGTTTCCACAAAATGACTGTGCATTCTGGTCATTCAAGATTCCAGCCTTTGAAGGAATTTCTTACAAACATGTAGCCTGTTTTAAAGAATGATCGCTTGAACCACTCTGTGTGAGTTTGGGAATGAAGACTAGGCTATCTTGGATAATCTTCAGACATCAAAAAACAAAATCAAAGCAACTATATTTGATTATCTTGTCACTCAAGAGTTCTCATTCAGACATTCCCTTTGAACCACTTTCTCTTCATCACAAATCTGAGTTGGGATCCTGCCCATCTATAGATTCTGATCATCCTTGTCATCTGATATTACTGATTACTTTGCTTTCTGTAGTAATTTTCTCCCAGATTTCTTCCCATTTGATGTCTGCACCCACCCAATCTTTATCTCCTCAGCCACAGCCAGATCTGTGCCTCTGGCTACCTTCTTATTGAGCTTTCCCAATTCTCAAACAGAATAGACTGGGAATCCACACATTCTGTTTGAAAAAAAAAGACCATAGTACCTGATCAGATCTAGAAAGTAGTAAGAGTTAAGTATAGAATCACATAATTCTACGTCCCTAACAGCAAAAATGTGGGCTTCACTGACCCTGGGTGTGAGGTCTAATTTCACAATAACTATTCATCCTGGAAAGAAGGAGTAAGGATGAGCTATTAAATGTAAAGATCTAATTGCTTAACCTTCCTAACTGGCTTCTCCATCCTTGATCTATGATGCACACGGCTATTAAAAGTAATTTCTCCATGTTCAGGAATTTCTTATCATTCTTTATTTAGGAACTCCATAGTCATTTGCATATAGGGAAGGCTGGCCTGGAAGCAATATTTTATTAACATTTGAGAAGAACTCAAATATCATGTCCAGAAAATAATAACATATTTATCCTAGCCTTAATATGGCTTTTCCAGTAAGATCCATGTGACTTGTCTCTGTGTGCCAAGGCTTGTATGTTTATCCCTCAGGGGTTTGGAACAAATGTTACAGACTTCTGATTGCTAGAGTGATACAGAGATTATGAGGACACATAGCCATAAAAGTAAACAGCCTGAGTTTTAAGCCTGTCATCATCATTTTACTCCCTTACCCTATGACCTTAGACAAGTTTCGGAATATCGAGGCCTTAATTTTCTCACTTATAATATGGAAGATAACAGTGGTTCTATTCCTTAGGATTATCATGAGGATGAAACAAAATAACTTGTGTGATGCACTTAGAACCATGCCTGATACAAAGTGGGCATTAATGAAGGCTAGCTATTATTGGTAGAAGTAAGGAGAGCTGAACTTTCTTGAAATAGACCAGTAGACGCCTGATGCCTCCAGGTCGAATATCCAGATCTTACAAGCCACAAATGCTCAACTTTAACAAATTAAAACAGCTGTCTAATTGCTCTTGGAGACATTGGAGAAATGGAGGCAGTCATTACCAGCTAGATGTTTCCTCTTTTTTAAGAAGCAGAAAAACTAGAAACCAGTGACTCAAAATCATTAACAATGTAAGACAACAAGTTAGTATTTGGGAAATGATAGATTTGTCACCTAAGAAAACCATTCTACATCTTCCTGGGGTGTTACAAGGAGGAGGGAATACTCGCCTGACTATTTACCCATTGTTTCCACCATTTATGCGTGTTTCGTCTGTGATCTGTACTTCAAACTTCTCAAATCCTTCCATGTTGTACAGTCTAGAAGTAAATTACTTATTCACGCAGAATGAAATGGAAAAATGGATCAATGAATTTCACGTGTGGGAATGTTTCTTGGAGCATCTCTCCAGTGCTTTGCTTATTTTTACCTATCATATTAAAATGGTGCCTCATATTAAGCTTCTATTCTCTATGATGCTTATATTTATTTCCTCTCCATTGATAATTGTTTACTCCTCAGATCCCGCTTACAAGGATAGCACTTGCTTTCTCAATCTGCTTTCCTGGAGTGAGATGGATTAGTGAAAAGAACGTAAATGTTAAAGACTAGCAAACCTGGGTCTAATGTCTGGTCGGCCTACACGAGCTGTGTGACTTTGACAAATAACACATAATAACTTCTTGAAGTATCAGTGTACTCACATATGAATAGAGGCACTTCATAAATAGTTAACAATTCATAAAATTGTTATGGGAAATTAGATATCATATGCATGATGTATAATATAAATAATTGTTGCTCAAGAAATGATCATTTTCTTCTCCTCTTTTTTTCATTTTGAACAGCATTCTCCTGACCTCTGACTACTTCTAGAGCCCAGATTACAGCAGAGAATCCCTCTTACGTTAATCTGTCCTTCCTGCCATCCCTGGTGGATGAACTAGAGATAATAGAAGGACAATTAGAAACAGAGTAACTGCTGATAAACCCCATTCCCTCCCATCCTGTATCTAATTCTGCATTCCAGTGACATTACATGGGATGTGACCAATCCCTGGAATCCCACTCTGGCTGCCATTCATTTACAATTCTGCGGTGTGTAGCACATGTAAGTTTATCCAAATAGGAGCACATGCAACTATGTCATGTATGGAGGCTTAATTCAAAGGAAAGGAAGATACATCTCTCCTGCCATCCAGTCACAAGGTAGCTGAAAGACCAAGGCTCACACACAGAAGATGACTGAAGAACTTTTATACAGCACCAGACAAATAAGGATAAATTACTTAATACAAATCAAATGGTGCATAAGTGCTTTAAGGTATTTAGGGTAGGAGAGATTAGCATCGATTCAGTGACATTTATTGAGCAGTTTTTCTGTCATAGGCACTGTGCTTGGAGCAGGAGATTAAAACAAAAATGAATATGACATGGTCCATGTCCATGCACTCACGAAGCTCTTCCTCTGATGAGAGAGGCAGGCATATAACCAAATAGACACAGGGCACAATGAGGACCACTTATACAATGCACAGAAAAAAAAGAGAAAATTGGTCTTTGAGTTATTATTGTTTTTTTAGAGAGGGGTTTTCACTATGCTATGCATGCTGATCTCCAACTCCCGGGCTTAAGTAAGCCACCTGCCTCAGCCTCCCAAAGCACTGGGATTACAGGCATGACTCACCATGCCTGGCTTAGTCTTTGAGCTATTGTTAAAAGGACAGTAGGATTTGGTTAGGCTAAAGATTGCAAGTTCTAACTCCTAGACCAGTCAGGAACATAATGTAAATTAATTTTTTTTAAAAAAATAATAGAACAGCCATTCAGTGTCACACATTTACTGTTGGCACTTTGTTTGAGTTAACTCATTTAATTTTTGCTTCTATTATTGCTCTTACTATTGTTATCTCTATTTCACTTTTGAAGAAACTGAGGCACAAAGCGAGTCAGCAGTTAGTCTAAGGTTACACCCCTGATATAGCATGGTTAGAACACAAACCCATGCCATCTGGGTCTGATGCCCGTGGTATTCACTATACTTGGTGCCTTTCTATAAAAAAATACGATGGCATAAGTGATATGATCAATGGCGACCGATACTCAGCCTCAGTATTCAAGAGACAATAGGGAATGATGGAGATCCCAACCAATTATTGTTTTCAGAAATGATAGCTAGATAATCCTCTTGTTTTCCTAGAGGAGCCAGAAATCAAGCTTCTCTCACCCCCATTAAATATCTACATTTTTAAATGTTGAAAAATAACTTTAAAATTAAATCCTGTGTGGATCAAACAAAACATGATAATAAACTGCCTATGGCACACAAGCCACCAGGTGATGCCTCTGGATTAGGCAGAGGAAGAAGGCAGGGAGGATAATTATATGCAAAGGGGGCAAGTAATGCAAAGGCCCGGGAGGGATGATGAGCAGTATGGAGTGACTAGAACACCAAGAATTAATGAGACTGGCAAGGCCTTGGAACACCATAGTAAGAAGTTTACATTTTCCTCAGTTTGCAAAAGGAAGCAGTGCAGAATTTTGTCCCCGTTGCATTGTTCAAGGTGGATTAATCAAAGCAGACGTGACTGCACACTTCTCTAACTTTGTTTCTCCCTTAGCTTCCCCTGGCACCAAATGCTCCAATCATCCAAACAGTTTTCAGTTCCCTGAACACACTGACTGGTGGACACACCAGTAGGGCCCACACTTCCCTATCCTGGTTCACTTATGCCTGAAATATTCTCTATCCAGCTGGAGAACAAATACTCGTCTATTTAACTCAAAGGAGCTAACTCTTTCTGAAGTTTTTCCTGATTCTCCCAACCTCTCCCACTGCCTGCTTCCTGACTCAACACGTACAGAATTGGCCACTCTCTCTTTCATACCTCTACTGCGTGCTTATCATGGCACCTGAAACACTTTATTGTACTAATTTCCTTGTAGGTCTATGTCCCTTACTAAACTGTGAACTCTTTAGGCCAAGGAATATCTTATTATTATCTGTATGTCTAGAGTATAGCACAATGTTGCATACATAGCAGACACTAAAATATTTGATGAATGAGTGAATGAATGAGTGAATAGATGGATAAATACTTTCTGAGACTGTAGAGTATGAACTGGGGTTTGAACATACTGAATGTTCTGAATATATCATCTCTTAAATATTTTGTCTGTTGATCTAAGATGTTTTGGTTATTTTAAATTAGTTTTGGGGTTCAAGCAGTTCCTTTCTGTATCTCTTCCAAAATATCAACAAATCCAACAAAACAATCTTTTTTGAAGTTGCCTATATCATATAACTATTGCTGTACAACAAAGCATTCCAACTTTCAATGCTTAAAACAACAGGTGATTATTATTGCTCATGGTCTATGGGTCTGCTGTGTTGTTCCTTGATTTGGGCTGGGCTGAACAGATCTCATTTAGATTCACTCAGGTTTTCTACGGTTAGCCAGTAGGTTCACTGGTCTAAGATGTCCTCACTCACATGACAGTCTGTTGGCTAGAATGATAGAAACGATTGGACTATGTATCTATCATGATCCAGCAGGCTAGCTCAGGCTGTCCATATGAGAATGACAGGGTTTCCTGAGAGTGAGAAGTACACAAGTCCTAGGCTAAGAATGAGCACACCACCATTTCTGTCGCGTTCTGTTTTCCAAAGCAAGGCACAAGGCCACCCCAGATTCATGGATTGGTGCAATAGATTCCACTTATTAATGAAAGAGAATGTAAAATCAAATTGCAGAGGGAGTATATCCAGAAAAGTGTGAACATTGGGGCCATTTCTGAAATTCATCTATCTCGGCGCCAGATCCTCCTGCTCCGATTATCTTTGTGTTCTCCACCACACTCACAATTCTGTTGCTCCAAATGCAAATGATAGATTATGATTACCTCTGTCAATGACCTTGAATTCCTCAGAAAGAACATCGTTCATTCATTGATTCATTAAACAAATAATAGTTTAAGACCAACTCTGCCTCAGACACTGTGTAAGATACTAGGAATAGAGAACTAAATACAACAAAGTCCAGGAAATATAGAAGCTAGAGTCTAGTGTGGGAGAGAAATGTGCAATAGAAAAATCATAGTCCCAGAGTGTAACAATAGAAGAGGCCTGAAGTCCAGATGAGGGAGCAATTACCTCTATGGGGTAGAGGGTAATTAGCAGAGCCAGGTAATAAAAGGCTTCTTGGAGAAATAGATGACTAGACTCTTATCCAGTTATACAACTATTTATAGTGTGTCTAGATTCCTCTGGTGATATGGTTTGGCTGTGTCCCACCCATATCTCATCTTGAATTGTAGCTCCCATAATTCCCATGTGTTGTGGGAGGGGTCCCGGTGGGAGACACTTGAATCATGGGGGCGGTTTCTCCCATGGTAGGATTTCCCCCATGGTAGAGGGTTTACACCCTCATGGTAGTGAATAAGTCTCACGAGATCTGATGGTTTTATAAGGGGAAACCCCTTTCATTTGATTAATTCTATCTAATTCTAGCTTGCCTGTTGCCATGTAAGATGTGCCTTTCACTTTCCATCATGATTGTGAGGCCTCCCCAGCCACGTGGAACTGTGAGTCCATTAAACTTCTTTTTCTTTATAAATTACCCAGTCTCGGGTATGTCTTTATCAGCAGCGTGAAAATGGACTAATACATCTGGTCTGGATTATTAAGATTTACCCTTAAATATTAAAATAATATACCCTTAAATTATTGCTCTTGTATAGGTACAGTATAATATTAACTTGATTATATTTGTCATTTGGATTGTAGAAATGATAACCCAGCATGGTTTCATCTGCTAGATGTTTGTCAGTACCTGGCAAATAACAACGCTTGAGTGCAAGCCCTGGACTTATTGCTTGGGTTTGAATCTCAGCTCTACATTTTGAGGAAACTGTACCTCAGTTTCCTTATCTATAAAATGGGGATAGTAATCTGAAGTTATGTGTATTCATAGCTGTGAGGGTAGGGCCTTAGCATATAGTAACTTCTTAATTATTAGTTATTTTTTAGAAATTTGTTTTTCCCTCTAGACTTTTTCTTTTTCCTCCCTTATAAAGTGGAGATAAAAATTAACCCACACAATAGCATTGTTGTGAATATTTAATACAATTGAATATATGGAAGGCACTTTGAACAGTGGCTAGGACATTGTACATACAGTGTTAGTATACACTGTTGTTATTCTGTCAATATCATTTTTAGCGAATCAAAGAATTGAAGCCACCTATTCCTAGTTTCTAGGGGTTCAAACACATTTTACTTCTTATTTTATAGCCTTCTCTTTCACCAGGCAGAGGTTATAATGTATTTACTTATTTCCCTTTGGGGACATAGTGGGATGCAGGGAGGATCAAGATTTCCTGAAAAAAACTTCAAGCAGGTTTGAGTGGAGGGGGATTTACATGATCCTGGAAGGTGAGCTGTGCAAGGAAAATGACTCCTCAAGGTACACCACCTCCAAAAGACCTGTGCACACATCCTCTACATTGGTGATGAACCCATCACATGACCTAGCCCCCACTGCATTTTCTGGTACCACTTGCTTTTTGATTATGCAGAGAAGTAGCTGATCCCCAGATTATAGTGTTTACTGTCTCCAACAGACATTAGCAATCTGTTGGAAAGATGCTAACAAAAGTAATCAATAGAGCAAAGAAAGATGAACCACTGAAAAGAATATAATTAGATGGTAGAAGTCACCTTAAATATATTGTGGTTGCATAATTATAGAATTGTCTGACTAAATTTAAAGTTAGTTAAATCATAGATGGAGTATATTCAAAGAATATCTGGCACATAGTGAAAACTGAATAACTTAAATGAATGAATGATTATGTTATAAAAATGCTTACTAACATCGATTACATGCTATCAATGAAAACCATTAAAAGCCATGCTTTGATTATTCTAAGAATGAAGAGATTTTTCAGTACTTTGAAATATCTGTCAAAGTTGTTTCCCTAAATACTTAGTACTGAATTTCATAATGTTGTGGTGACCTGGGGGAATTTGTAATTGGAAGAGCATAGATTTAGAGCAAAGGAGAGCAGGCTGAAATCATACTCTTGAATTAAGAGAGCAATCTGAGTATTAAGTATTCAAGATCTAATGGAGCTGAAATGACAGTCTATGACAATGCCTTGTGTAATTGTTTGTCATTATGTCTGATAATGCTGTAAGGGCTTATTTGATTCTAAGGCTTTGCAGTAGAAAGAGCACTGGATTTGGAGTCAAAGAGACCTAGGTTCACAGGCATAACATACACACTAGGGTGCCATTCATACAGACTATAGTATGCATGATCCTTCATGGAGTCAATCAAAGAGAGGATTCAAATCCTCACATTGCTATCTACTAGCTCAGTGACACAAAGCAAGTTAATTAACCTCTCTCTGAGTTTAGTTTCCTCTGCTACTAGCATGAGCACTGATTTGGATAACCCAGTATTATGTACGATATCTAGGTTAGTGTCTTGTTCAGATTTAGTGGGGTTTTTTTCCATATTGCTACTTGTTGATTAATTATGGGAAGGCATTGACTCTGGATGGGTGTCAATATGGACATTGTTTTCATCTGGATATTTTGCCTCATCTAAGAAGCAGTTTTGCAGAGTGTAATGGTTAAACACATACACCCTGGGCTCAGACCACCTGGGTTCACATTCCGGTTCTGTCATCTAACCAGCTATGTGAACTCAAGTGAGCCAAATAGCTCCCTCTTCAAATGTGGGTAATGGTAATACCTACATCATATGGGTGTTAGGAGGATTAAATGATTAATATTTGGAAAGTACTTGGGACAGCTCCTGATATATATACTTACCATCACATAGCTATCTGTTAAAATAAAACCAGAGGAACTCAGAGAACTGAAGAATACTGTAGTAACTTGGAGAAATTTGTGACTTACTGTGTGGAATGTGTAGGTACTGCGTTTTCCTAACAACACACGCTGTTTGAATTAATAGCATTGCATGGCATCTTGATCCATCACCATCAGGACATGGAATTTAAATTATTTTGCCAGTTTTTTCACAGACATTCTCATGCTATCAAAGTTCAAGCATTAATGAAAATGGTGAGCTGAATCATGATTTCAGTCTGTGAAAATAAGACAAAAACAAAAATAAATAACCAAGGGGGCTAGGCATGGTGGCTCACGTCTGTAATTCCAACACTTTGAGGTGGGCAGATTGCTTGAGCCCAGGAGTTTGAGACCAGCCTGGGCCACATGGCAAAACTCTGTTTCTACCAAACAAAAACAAAAACAAAAAAAAAGCTTGATGTGGTGGCCCACGCATGTAGTCCCAGCTACCCTGAAGGCTGAGGCAGGAGGACTGCTTGAGACCCCAGGAGGTGGAGTTTGCAAGAGATTGTGCTACCACACTCCTACTGCACTCCAGCCTAGGTGACAGAGCAAGATCCTGTCTCAAAATAATAAATAAATAAATAAAACCAAGGGGATTAATCGTTTTTCTTTTGAATTGAGGTGTAGTTGGTTGATATGCACCTCTTTATCTTCATTGGTCTTTGTAAGAATGTATGTATGTACATATGAATACAGGTTTACATATGTGAATGTGTTATATGTATGAATCTATGTATGTTTGTATTTATTTTCTTTCACTTTCAATAATTCTCTCCCTTCCCCTTTTTCTGTTTGGTAACTATTGTAATATACTCCATGTGTATATTTTTGTTTGAATGTGTATTGTTGTTCTGTGTATATTTATAATTTTCATAAAGCTTATTGTGCAATGTATAGTTCACTTCATTCTTTAATTTTCTTGTCCTCATTGCTTGCTTTTGAGAGTGATCCATGTTGCTCTATGTCCATCTTGCTTCTAATGGCTGCAAGTGCTCCAGGAGTTACATCTGTCACATTTTACCTACAGGGATTGCTTCCAACTTCCTGCCACAATGAACAACCTCATCCATAGTCCCTGATAGATCTGCCAGCCTGAGAATTTCCTCTAGAACTCTGAAGTTGTTGTTCTATTGTCTTTTAGTATCCAATGGAGTTAATGAGAATTCTGATAATAATTTAATGATCACTTATTTATAGATATGAAAAAAGCCCTCTTTTCTAAAATATTCAGGGGTGGTACTTGGTTAGTTAATTGAAAAATTATTTAAACTGGGCATCTGTAAAAATCACATCTAATGTAAAGATCTGTTTCAATTGCAAATGTTTAAGTGTACCTTTATAGGCCTTTTTTTTTTTTTTTTGCTTAACCTAAGATCAAGGCTTTTGTTTTGCTGCCTGTCTGTATGTGTTTACTTTTGGTTTTGTTTTAGTATAGATCTACTTTTGGAATTCATTTTTATGTTTCTGATGTAAACAACTGCTGAATGCCCTATGTGTTTTCCTATGTCACTTTCTTCGAAGTAAAATAAGAACTGAAGTACATTGCAAGGAAATCAAGTGCAGATTTTTTCTTTTTTGTTGTTGTTTTTTTTGAGACGGAGTCTCACTCTGTCACCCAGGCTGGAGTGCAGTGGCGTGATCTCGGCTCACTGCAAGCTCTGCCTCCGGGGTTCATGCCATTCTCTTGCCTCAGCCTCCCGAGTAGCTGGGACTACAGGTGCCCGCCACCACGCCCGGTTAATTTTTGTGTTTTTAGTAGAGACGGGGTTTCACCGTGTTAGCCAGGATGGTCTCGATCTTCTGACCTTGTGATCCACCCACCTTAGCATCCCAAAGTGCTGAGATTACAGGCATGAGCCACCGCACCTGGTCTTTTCACATTTTTAAGTTTTCTTTCTTTTACAGTTGTTCCGCCAATACTACTTAGCTTTATCAAGTATTTCCAAAGCATTCAACTTAGTTTTCAGAGTAATGACTGCTCTTTCTTTTTACCCTTACATTTTATTAGTTTAAATATGTAGCCTATAGTTACACAAAATGAATCAGATGAAACTGCAAACTTGATGTTGTTGTTTTCATTTTCATTTGGAGAGGTCCTATTGTTAATCGTAGTTTCTGGGCCTCAGGCTTTTTTAACTTCAGTTACTTGGGAGATTGGGGCCTAGAAGCCATGCTTTGATATTTTCAATAAGCATAAAACAGTGCTTGGAACTTTAAAGGGACAGTAGATATGGAAAGCATATCCTACATTGCAAAGAGTTATATGTATCTAAGATGGTTTTAAGTTCTGTGTCTATATTGTCCTCACTATAACCTCAGTGTTTGGCCTCCACACATCTGGAGTCCCAGATCAACATTTGTTCAATAATGAATGAATTAAAACCTGGAGAGAGTATAAGTGTGATTTCTGATGTTATCCTATGTCACCTTAAACATTTTGGTATTGCATACCGTATATAAAGGATGCCTCTGGGTGATTGAATTTGAAATAGAAACTCAAGGAATATTTTGCTTTTCTAACAAAAGAGGGGTTCTACTCGTGTTTTCTCTACATTGATGATGTTGACACCTAATATTGGCGTTGATACAATGTTTTTTGTGCAGATTTTTTTGGTACATAATTTGTTGCTGATTGACTATTTTGGTTTTGGATAATGCATGAGAAAAATGAAATTAGAATTCGTTTTTATTCTATATACTGAGAAAAAAACTAATAGATAGATAGCTGGATATATCCAAAAAACTCACATTCTTATTTATTTACTCATTCAACAAATATTTATTATTATTTTACTATGTGTCAGTCACTGTGATAAAAACATTGACAAAGTTACTGTCTTTGTGGAGTTTACATTTTATTCAAGTGGGAGCTAAATAAATTAAAAAGTTGCCAATAAGTGAACAAATATAAACATTATATACTCTGATAAGGGTTAGAAAAAAATAGTCTGCAAAGATAAAGAGTAATGGGGAACTGTGGTCTGGATCATCTGGGATGGTTTCTCTGAAGAGGTGACATTTGTACTGAGACTGGAAGGATAAGGAGAAACCAGGCTTTGAGAGACTGGGGACAGCCACACTCACAGAGAAAATCTCAATTTTAGGTGTTCTGAGTCTACCGTTAATTGCTTCAAGGATGTTCTGAGGCATATAAAATCTTTATAGATAACCTATTTTTTTAAAATAAAAAGAAATGATGCCAGTGGAGATATTCCCAAATACTGAAGCAATGTAGGATTTATGCAAACACCAACCACACCCTTCCTCTGCAAAACGACTTAACAGAAATGTTTTCATGATGATTTTTCTCTTAAAGGATCTTGTCTGTAACGTGACATCCTCTCCACCCTTAAAAAAATATGTAGCTTAGTAAAGGGAAAAAAAAAAGAGAGAAACTAAGTTTAAAGAAACAAAATATGAGCGGTCAATTTTAAGAATCGGGATAATTCATTCTTAGAAGATTAGGACCAGTTCCCTAGTTTGTGGATGATTCTGTTCTGTGGATTCTTACTTTTTCTCCTGCCACCCTCCTTTTGATTATTGCACTGCTAATTAGCACTTCTATTAAGCAGTCCAGAAGAGGAGAATAATCAATCAAGGAAAGGAGTTTCCATTTAAGGTTTGGTGGGTGAGAAGTTAAATCTATTGGCAAAAATCAGCTTATTTTCAGATTCTCTGTGGATTTCCTTTATCTATGTTATTTCTGTCCCCAATAGCATAGACCAACATAAGCTGATTATACTGTATAACATGAGGACACACACACACACACACACACACACACACACACACACACACACACAGAGCTAAAGGTTTTTGGAGCATGGGCATATTTAAACTAAAACCTCTGGATGACAAATTTAGTTAAGTGATGCAATTTGAAGAGTGTTGAGGCGATGCTAGTAATAAAAACAAAGAAACATATGTATATTGTTGTCTGCAGCCACAGTTTAACACCTCGCAGTAAGGGATTCTTCACATCCCAGAAGTAGCTACCCTGCATCTTAAACAGTATGCTAGGTTAGATTCTTGCCCGTTTGCTGTTCCTGATAATGCCCTTTAACTCACACAACTGAGCTGTTGTTAGTTAGGATCTACGGCCACAGAAATAGTATGTCTGAAATAAACATAAATATGAGTAAAATCCAGGCATACCCCCTAAATCATGCCCTTCACTTCCTTCCTGTTTGTAAATCTTTTGTAAGCCTTCAACTTTTTTTCTTTTTAAGCTTGTAGCCATTTCTTTTTGAATGACTCTTAGCTTACTGTGTTTCCAGGGGTTGAGGAGCCATGTATCTGTGGGATACTCGAGGAAAAGCGGAATCTAAGACCAGGTTCCATGGGTAGGTCAGAAAAGGACACAGAGAGAGATTGTGTGTCCTTGGTGGAGATGGGCTTGTGCTGAACTTGCAAAATGTATGAGTTCAGTGTCATCTGTTTTCAGTATTTCCTGAACAATTGATTTATTCCACATTATTAATGAACTTTGCAGCAGTTCCACTTGTCAGAGCCTACTCTGTAGGGGTCAATAATGAGAGGAAACCTGATGTTAGTGAATCCAGCTTAAGTGATTCTGTCATGCTAACAATTCAATATATCAGGACAAATGTCAGCTCCTTCCAATATGTTAATTCCTCTGATCCTATTTGCATAAACTACAGTCAATGAAATACAAGCTCCCCCTCTAAGGTAGTTAATGGAGATTTGTAAAGGATTTTTAATTTACTTTTTTTTGGTCTTCTCCAACATAAATTTTTGAGTTGAAAAAGGGACAGAGAAAGCAAGGATCACAGATTGGGAAGAGGATGTAAAACATTACAAAAGCTCAAATATAAAGAAATATAAAATCTATGGGTATAATTTAGCCGTTTCTTAAGAATTCTGTATATTCACAATTACTTCTTCCAAAAGGAATAATTTCTTTTTAAAGAAACTTGGGAACAAAGCATTGATGAATTCTTCTTACATTTTGAGGTGAGTTTTCAGTTTCGCTGGTTTCCTGAAGTAAATCACAAGTTCATTAGTTTTCCCAAAGGACATTAAATCTGGGTTTCTGATCTCTTCTATTAACCCATAATATCTCCCTGAGACCATTTACATATGATAGCAATGCTTATTTTAGAAGTACCACTTTTTTTACTTTCAAATTCATGGTGCATAATACATCACAATTTAAAATTAAGATTAAGAAATCAGATTTTTTTTTTCTTGGAGGAAACACATAGTTATCTGATTTATCCAGTAAAGCCATTTCCTTTTTTTATTTTTATTTTTAAAAAAACAAGCTTTCAGGAATTTATTTGCTTTCTATATATAATTATTTGCATTATTGGCAACTGTAATTTTTATTTATACTGCAAACATCTCTCTGTCTACCAGTTTCCTTGGTTTTTGTTTTGCAGTGTGGCTCAACACTTTACTTCTCCACTCACAACCTTTCATATAGACTACTTTATTTATGTAAACTTGGTAGAGATTTGAAAACCCAAAATAGATATTGAATTTTAGATATAGACATTTGCTTAAGTAGTTTTTTTTTGGTCTCCTGCACAATCCCTAAGGTGTTTTTCAGTCTTAATTGTGAGATAACAATGATATAGGGATTGGCAGTGAGCATCATCAATCAACAAAGAGCATAGTAGCAATAATGGGCTTCATCTTCAATTTTTACGCAAGTGCTTACCTGCTATCAGCCTGGTGATTTGTCCATTTATCTATTTTTTAGGGTCAAGATGAGTTTAATAAAGTTATCCAAATCATTACCGTTATCTACGTTGCTATGTTTCATCTTCTCTTCTCCACTTAGCTTAAATATGCAGAGCCTAGTACTTTGAAAATTAGTACAATGAATTGTTCAGACCATATTTTGCTCATCATTTTCACTAATACCATAAAATTGGATTAATATTTTTACTTGTCACCACCTATAATAAGTAGGTAAGAGTATTTTCTAAAGACATCTGTACAATGTGAATGAGATAATAGTGGTCCAGGGTCATAGCTGTAGTCAGTAAGTGAGGGGTTATCAGACCGTCAACTTTCTAAAGATAGTTTCTGATGTGTGAATAAGGGAAGCATTTTGTTGAGTAACTTTAAAGAGTTCATTTATCCTACGTATTTCACCTTCATGAGCCAGTTATATTTTAAACTCCATGAGAATGAAGACTGGTTTTCCTTTGTTTCAACATGATGCTGAACATGAGGCCATGTGATATAGTAAATAATGTCTATATGTCTTATAGAATTTTCCAGAGGATAAAGAATCTTTGTGCAGCCCTGGTGCTGTCCTTTTTTAAAAAACCACTTTATTGAGGTATGATTGACACTAAAAAAGCTGTACATGTTTAATGTATACAAGTTGATGAGTTTGAAGATAAGTACACACTATGAAATGATTGCCACCATCTATGACATAAACATATTCATCCACCTCCCAAAGTCCCCCCATCCTTTACCTATTATTATTATCTCTGTGTGGTGTATATGACAAAAACAGTTAATGTAAGATCTATTCTCTTAGCAAAATTTTAAGTATGTTTTACAGTATCTTTAACTATAAGCACTATGCTCTACAGCTGATCTCTAGGACTTATTCATCTCACATAACTGAAAGTCTGTATCCTATGACCAATGTCTCTCTGTTTACCCCTCCTCTCAGCCCTTGGCAGCTATCATTCTACTCTCTGCTTCTATGATTCCTATTTTAGATACCTTAGATAAGTGGTATCATGAAGTATTTGTGTTTCTGCATCTGGCTTATATAACTTGGCTTAATGTCCTCCAGTTTCATGTACATTGTGGATGAAAATGGCAGGATTTAATTCTTAAATTTTTAAGACTGATCAGTATTTTATTGTATGTACATAGCACATTTTCTTTATTCATGTATCTGTTGATGGACATTTAGGTTGCTTCCATGTCTTAGCTATTGTGAGTAATGCTGCAATGCACATGGAAGTGCAGATATCTCTTTGACGTGCTGATTATAAATCTTTTGGATTTATACCGAGAAGTGAAACTGCTGGATCATATGGTAGTTCTATTTTTAATTGCTTGAGGAAACGCCATACTGTTTCCATAGTGGTTGCACCAATTTATGCTCCTCCCAACGGTGTACAGGAATTCCCTTTTTTCCACATTCTTGTCAACACTTATTATCTTTTGATAATGGCCATTATAACAGGTGGGATGTAATATCTCTTAGTGGTTTTCATATGCATTATGTGTGTATTGGATAATAATTTGCTTGAATTCTTTATATATTTTGGATATTAACCTTTTATTAGATATATGATTTGCAAATATATTCTCTTATTCCATAGGTTGCATTTTCATTTTGCTGATTGTTTCTTTTGCTATGCATAAACCTGTAAGTTTGAAGTGGTTCCACTTGTTTATTTTTGCTTTTGTTGCCTTTAATTTTGGTGTCAAATCCAAAAAATCATTGCCAGAACCAATGTCATGAAACTTTTCCCTATGTTTTCTTCTAGGAGTTTTATGATTTCAGGTTTTATATTTAAGTCTTTAGACAATTTTGAGTTGATTTTTTGTGTATGGTGTAAAGTAAGCATCCAATTTCTTTTCTTTTCTTTTCTGTTTTTGCATGTGGTTATAGTTTCCCCCATTTGAAGAAATTGTCCTTTCCCCATTGTGTGTTCTTGGCACCTTTGTTAAAGATTAGTTGACCATATATGCATGGGTTTATTTCTGGGTCTTCTGTTTCACTGGGCTGTGTGTTTGCTTTTACGTCATTATCATATTGGTTTGATTATTGTAGCTTTGTAATATAACTTGAAATCAGGAAGTATAATGCCTACAGCTTTGTTCCTTTTAGTCAAAATTGCTTTCGTTATTTGGGGTCTTTTGTCATCCCATACAAATTTTAAGATTGTTTTTTCTATTTCTGTGAAAATGCCATTGGGATTTCAATAGGGATTGGATTGAATCTGTACGTTATTTTGGGTAGTATAAACATTTTAACAATATTAATTCTTCTGATTCACAAATATGGGACATTATTTCATTTATTTGTGTCTTCAACTTTTAAAATCAGTGTTTTATGGTTTTCAGCATGCAGATATTTCACCTTCTTGGTTCAACTTATTTCTGAGTATTTTATTTTTTGGATGTTATTGTAAATGAGATTGCTTTTTAAATTTCCTTTTCAGATAGTTTGCTGTTAGTGTGTAGAAGCACAACTAATTTTTGCATACTGATTTTGTATCTGCAACTTTGTTGCATTTGTTTATGAGTTCTAACATGTTTATCTTTGTCTATATATTTACCTTTTACCAGTGAGTTTCATACCTTTCATATCCTTTCATATTTAATGGTTTTTTTTTTTGTTTCAACTTGAGTAACTCCCTTTAGCACTTCTTGTAAAGCGTATGTAGTGATGACAAACTCCCTTAGTTTTTGTTTGTCTGGGAAATCCTTTATCTCTCTTTTATTTTTAAAGGACTTTTTCCAGGTATAGATTTTATGGTTGGGAGTTTCCTTCTTTCCACACTTTTAATATGTCATCCCACTTTCCTGGTCTGGGAGGTGTTTGCTGAGAAATTCACTGATAGTCTTGTGGTTTCCTTATATGTGATGAGTCACTTTTTTCTTGCTGCTTTCAAAATTCTTTGTTTCTGAATTTGACAATCTAATTATAATGTGTTTGATATAGACAACTTTAGGTTTAATTCACTTGGTACCTTTTCGGTTTCATGAATTTAGATAGTCCTCTCTCTCCCCAGATTTGGGAAGTTTTCAGCTATTTCTTTAAATAGAATTCTTCCCTTTTCTCTCTCTCTCCTCCTAAAATGATCATAATTCATATATTTGTTCACTTGATCATATCCCTTACATATTATAGGCTTCCTTCACCATTTTCATTCTTTTTTTCTTTTTCACTCCTGTGAGTAGATATTTCAAATGACCTGCCGTTGAGTTCACCAATTCTTTCTTCTGCTTGATCAAGTCAGTCTGCTGCCGAAGCTCTCTCTTAAATGTTTCAGTTGAGTCACTGCATTCTTCAGTTTTAAGTTTTCTGTTTGCTTGTTTTTTCTGATTTCTGCTTCTTTGTTGAACTCATTTTGTTCATGTATTGTTTTTCTGATTCCATTTAGTTGTGTGTGTGTGTGTGTGTGTGTGTGTGTGTGTATATATAAAATTTATATCTATATCTATGTTCGTTTGTAGCTCACTGAGGTTCTTTAATTTTGAATTCTTTGCCAGGCAGTTTGTGGATCTCTATTTCTTTAGTACTGTTTACTACAGCTTTGTTTTTTTCCTTTGATAGTATTATGTTTTCTTGATTCTTCATGATCTTTGTAGATAAAAATGTATTGATACCTGCATGTTGTAGAAGCAGTTACCTCTTCCGGTCTTTCTGACTAGCTTCAGCAGGAAAAGTCTTTCATCAATCAGCCTAACCAGAGATTCTAGGTGTGCCTGTAGCCTAGGTCCATGAGCAGGCAGGACTGCTGCCAGGAGCAGTGGGCCAGCTATTGAGTTCTGTGTGCTGGTTGTTGAGAGCCTCTGTCTCTTTTCTTTGTTTTTAGCTACCCTAGGTGATTTAGTCATACTGATTCCCTCACTGCTGTGGGTGAGGCACAACTAAATTGGACCTCTCAGTGTCCTGAAAGGTTGGGGAAGTTGGATATCCACTTCAATCTCTCCTTCCCCTATGGGAGAGCTTGTGGGACAAAGGTATTTCTCTCAGCACTGTACCATGCTGGCTTGGGTGGAGAGGTGATGTGGGTAAAGTGAAACTATTCTTCTTAGCCTTCTAAATGTGTATTTTTTCTCATTCTTGTGCTTCACCTAGGTGCTGTAACCTCTCCCTGGGATACTGGAGCTCTTTTATTTTCAACTGTGAATGGTTGTTAAATCAATGTTTCTGTGGGGGTATGAGGGCTGGTACTTCCTATTTTACCATCTTGCCATTACTTTCTGCATCTTTTTTTTTTTTTGTCTAATAATTTGTTAAAGACAGGAAAACAATCTTCAAATTGGAATTGGTATTTATCAGTTTGACTCAGAAACTCAGTTGATTTGAAAGTTAGATCTTACCTTTGCTACTAAAATACATATTAACTTTAGCAGATTTAGGTCACTATTGTGTTGGAAGAAACACTTAAGTAATCTGGAGGCTCCCTTTGGCTTGCCGTTCCTTGTCATGTCTTCAGGATTTCCTCTCCAAGCTTTCCAGGCTTGCTTTGTTATTCTCTTTCATCTGTTATATCCTGGCAGTGCCAGATTCTCTGAGTGCTGATTGGTCAGCTTACTCTTCTGATAACCAGACTCAGTCTAAAATTCTACCATGCTAATCGGAGAGAACATAAAACTTCATCTCTTCTCTTGATACCAACTGTCTTGTATGAGAGACCTTGTGGAGACTATGTTCTTTAGTGTGTGTGTGTGTTTTATAATTTCATATGGTACAAGTGAGAAGACAACTCTATTAGATGTCAGAAGGAGTGAATTTGGTGTCTTCTGTTAACAATTACTACTAGTGCTTGATTTTGGAAAATTTCATTGTCTTTCTGATTATTTCTTCCTCTTCTAAATTGGTAGGATCAAATGAGAAAGCATATGTGTAAAAGCTATGCAAACTGTGAAGTGCTCTTCCAAAAAAAGGCTCTATCTTGTTTTATTTTTTTGCTTTTATCTTTTCTTCTATTCCTTTCTTCTCCCCCTCACCTGCTTTCTCCCTTCCTCCCTCTCTTTATTCCTTCCTTCTCTTTTTCCTCTTTATTTCTTTCATTCTTTTCACGTCTTTCATCTTCCCCCCATTCCTTACTCTCTTTCAGTCAAACTTTCTTTCTTTTCATAGCCCTTCTATTCTTCTTACCCTTCACCTTCACACTTCAATCCTTTAAGGATATACAGTTGTTCACATGGATGCCTATAAAACAAAATTAGGAGTGGAGGAGGCAGAATAAGGGAAATATAGAGCCATCAGATGATAATAACAAGGCAAAAGTTAGTATGAGACTGGGCCAAAAGAAGAAGAGAAATATGATTGGATAAAGTATTCCCATTGTTTTTTAAAAAATAAAACATACATTCTTCAGGAAAGACAATGTTTTTTTCTGGTCATTAGGTCTAAAGCATATTTCTTAGATAAATCTTATTAAGAGAGGCACACAAATTGTGTTCTTAAATTAAAGCAATGGTGGCTTTCCAGATGTTTGTAGTATTCCTGAGGGCATAAGGCTAGAATCTCAGTTCTGTTTGGGATTGGAGCATAGTCTCGTGGTTTAGCTTCTTGATAAAAATATTTAAACCAGAGATAAAATGTAGAATATAAAACGCAGCCTTAGTTTCCCCTAATCGTGTTGCATTAATAGTAATACCTCCTAGTTAATTTGTTCTTGCATCCCTCCTGATCATACTGGAGTTAGTATTTTCAAAAGTCTCCCCAATTATAATTTGAGGCATCAGGCCAATTTCATATATGTTCACAAACAAGTTGACGAGCATTAATGGTCACACAAAATCAGCTGAGTTCTCTCTCTCTTGCTCTGTGCCCTCTTCCTAAGTCTTTTGACCTTGAAACTACTTGAGAGTTTGTACTGCAGCCATGATAGCCATTGCATTTCTCTTATCCACTATTAGCCATCTTGCTTAGGTACCAAATCAGGGTTGCTTGCAACTCATGTCTTAAATTATCCGTTGCAGAAGCAGTTTCTTCAGTTTACTTCTTCAGATGTTTTCCATAGGGTATATTAATGAGTCATAGGTCTAGGTCAGGAGACAGGTATGCTCCCTCCTCTCCTCTGAAACCTAGACTCCTTCCTCAACCTTCACCTAAAAATAAGCTCATTCATACAAATGCATGAAGTCACCTGCCCCGTCAGTTCACCATCTATTCTCACACATGTCAGAGCCCCACAGTGAACCCACTTTAGACTCAAATTGGGAACCAGTTATATCTTGAAGAATAAATTTGAATATTTTGATTCAATTAAATTGAATAAAATAATCTTGAAAAATAAACATGGTCTCCAAATGGTGGTCCATACATATAATTTTTTATACCATTAAAAGTATTTTGATTATTATTTGTTGAGAAAATTTCAGGCTAGAAAAGAGGAAAGGTTATTCCTTGAAAAACCTAATGGATGGTGTCCTGAAAAACATCGTATTGGATTCAGCGATTATGCCTTTGGCTGCAAGTGACAGGAAACTCTGACTCAAATTGCCCAATTTGGCAAAAAGACTACAGAGTTTCAGCTGTGGTAGTATTCTAGGGTGCTAGATTTTTTTCTGTGTGATTCTCTTGGCTCCACCCTTTCACATTTTGCTTTCATCTTTACCTCATTCTTAGGCAAGAGGGTAGCATCTGTTATAGGGGACCCACTGGAAGAAGTCAACATCCAGAAGTAAGAGCATGTGTCTCTCTTTGTATCTTTCTCTCTTTCTCTCTGAGTGAGAAAGCTCTTCCCTGACACTGCTAAACAAATCACTATTTATGTCTTACTGGCCGGAATTAGCTCACATGTCCATTCTTTTTCTTTTCTTTTCTTTTCTTTTTCTTTTTTTTTTTTTTTGAGACTTAGTCTCGCTCTGTAGCCCAGGCTGGAGTGCAGTGGCGCGATCTCGGCTCACTGCAAGCTCCGCCTCCGGGGTTCACGCCATTCTCCTGCCTCAGCCTCCGGAGTAGCTGGGACTACAGGTGCCCGCCATCACGCCTGGCTTATTTTTTGTATTTTTAGTAGAGACGGGGTTTCACCGTGTTAGCCAGGATGGTCTCGGTCTCCTGACCTTGTGATCCGCCTGCCTCGGCCTGCCGAAGTGCTGGGATTACAGGCGTGAGCCAACACGCCCGGCCTCACATGTCCATTCTTAAACCAATCATGTGTAAGGGGAACAATGCTAGCTTAATTGGCTTAGAATAATTAGGTGGGTTAGATGGGATGTTAGAGAATTAACTACCAGGATCACTCTGATGCTTATGAAATTACACAGTAGTCAGTTATTTGTGGGCAATGGTTAGATACCCGTGGCCCTTGCCTTTTTGTTCCTGGCCTCATGAACACCTGGAGGTATTCATTGTGTTATAAGCCCAATAATTTGTGCGTAGGTATCTTCAAACTTCAATTATAAGTCTTTTGGGCTTTGTAATTCCTTCCTGTATGATATTTAAACAGAAAATTAATCAAGTCAAACATCATCTATCCCCTATTCTTTCTGAGACCTTTATCTGTAACTCTGATCTCTCTTATGAGTTTTGGTTATGTTTATCCAATTATCTACTGGATATTTACACAGCAACATCTGTGGTGCATGTGGTGGTTTGGCGCTATCTCCATTCCAGCTTTCTTCTATTGGGTCTTCCTAAATTTCAGAGCCTGGAAAACTTAAAAAAGAAAAACATTGAAACAAAACAAAACACTACATTTTCCAGACTCCTTGTAGCTAGGCTTCTGGGTTCAAATGAGGTTCTGCCTACTAGATGCATTTGTGTGAGATTGGGCAGGAAGAAATGAGGAAGGCCATGGTCCAGCTGCTTTGGCATTGTGCTGTGACCAAGCATGGCCACTGATCCAGGCTGAGCTTTCTGCAGCACTGGAATGTGTCTACTCACTCACTCTGTGGCCGTGGAGAGCAGTTGTAGTGACAGCACTAGCTTCATGTGTGATTCTGGATCACAGTTATGGTGATGGATTTCTGAAGTCAAGAATTAGTGGCAGCCTCCTGAATCCCCATCTCCTGGACAGGGTCTTATCAGCTTAGTAGTATTCTTCTGGATTTATTTCTAGAGATCCAGCTTAGAAGCCTCTCTCCTAGTGCTCCCAATTATTTTTAAGTATTTAATTCCCTGTTTTAAATTATTTTCTGCTTAAATTAACTCAAGTGTTTTTGGCTGTAACTTGACTGATATAACAGTCTATTGTCACTTAAAACTGAATTTGTTTATAACCAAACAATATTCATCTCTCTGAACTAGCTCTTACTTCTGATATCCTTAAGTATTATCACCCAAGGTTATCTTTTTTCCCTCCCCCATCTTTCTTTTTCATAGCCAATCAAATCCTTCAAAATGTCTCCTTTTATTGAACCTTCCTTCCTACTTTTCATACTAGCATCAAGACTAGACATTACCACTCCTTTGGCCTGGAATATTTAAGAACTATCTTGCCCATTCTTCTCAACTCCATTTTCCTCTACTTTTTAATCTATCATGCCCCCAAATGTGAAATTTACCTTCATAAAATATTGTTTTTATTATATTATTGCTGCTCAGTGATGTCTTAGTCTGCTTGGGCTGCTATAACTAATCACCATAGATTGGGTAGCTTAGACAACAAATACTTATTTCTCACAATTCTGGAGGCTGGGAAGTTCAGGATCAAGGTATTGGCTGATTTGGTTCTTGGTGAGGGCCCTCTTCCTGGTTTGCAGATGGCTACCTTCTTGTATCCTAACATGGCAGAGAGAGAATGAGAGAGAGAGAGAGTGGAGAAGAGCTCTCGTGTCTCTTATAAACCATCATATCTCTTATAAACCATCACGAGGGCTCCACCCTCATTACTTAATTGCCTTTCAAAGGCCCCATCTCTAAATACCATTACATTGAGGATTAGGGCTTTAACTTGTGAATTTTTGGAGGACACATTGAGTCCATAGCAGTGCAAGAAATCTTAATTGATTTTTCTAAACTTTTAACCTTGCATTCTGTGTTTTCTAAAATTTTGTCCAACTTATTTTTAAGATGTATCTTCTTCTCAGGGGAGAAGCGGGTAATTTGTACACTCTACTATGTGAGAGGTATTATATTATATGCTTAAAGAATTTCATTAAAACTTAATAGCAGTCCTTCACAATAAGTACTATTACCTCTATTTTCCAGGTGAGCAAACTGCAAATTAGGTAAGTTGAGAGCTTTTCTTTTCTTTTTTATATTATTTTTATAATACTTTTTACTATACTTTAAGTTCTAGGGTCATATGTACACAACGTGCAGGTTTGTTACATAGGTATACATGTGCCATGTTGGTTTGCAGCACCCATCAACTCGTCATTTACACTAGGTATTTCTCCTAATGCTATCCCTCCCCCAGCCCTCCTTTTCTAATGTAACACAGCAAACTAGTGGTGGACTTAGGATACAAACCTACACTGAGTGGTTTCAACACTCAACGCAATGTATACATGTGTAAATTTCCTCCCAAAGTTGTTATGGTCTACTGAATATCTCTGGAACATGCACATTGCAACTGTTGGACCTGTGCTCTTACCTTTCTTTCTTCCCTGTTTCAATATAGAATTGTCTTTTCCTCCTATTCATCTTAAATTTTAAACCTCACTCCAAATAGTCTCTTCTCTATGAAGTCTAGTTTGAATTTTTCAGGTAATTTCTGAAATTCAAGTCCTTTATCATCTGGCTGATGTGAGTCTTATGAAATCTCATATGGGCATGTGATTTTTTTATTTAACTTATTTAACTTTTCATTGCATAAATCTTGGCTCTTCCAATAGTCATGGGGTTCCTTAGGGCAAGGATGGCATACTATAATTCTGCAACACTTCTATATACTTATAAAATGCAGTAGTATTTGCATTAATCTTGGAGCTAGCAAAACTAGTCCTCATGCCACCACTTACTAGCCTTGAGACTTAGACAAGGCGATTAATTTTTTTCCCTCTAATTGTAAAATAGAGCTATAAAGGGATTCCCTCTCTTCGTCACAAAGGCATTGGTTTTCAGCCTTTAAGATTGCAGTGAAAGCTACTGGCTTTCTCTGGCAAGCAAATGCGCTTGTGCACAAATATACAAACAATTGAAGGAATTTCTGTACCTCTTGAAGTCATTCATAAACCTAGGTTAATATTTGCCTTCATAGGATTATCATGAGGATCAGATAAAATATTTCATGGAAAAGCTCTACATAAACTTATGAAATGCTATATGAAGTAAGATGACACTCAACTAAGGATTAAGTGAATAAATGAATGAAAGGAATTTAAGACTGGTAGAGATCTTCAGAATTCACCAAGTTTATCCTTTCTGTTTTCAAGAATGTTTCTCTTGAAACTAGTTTAGATGATTATTACAGAGAACTCGAGAGAAGAATACCTGCAACTCAGACTTACTATAATAGACCATGGTCAAAAATTTCTTTCTTGGGTAAAAATTAGCATATCTTCATAAGAGATGTCCAGTGAACATGTGAAAAAAATTGCACACTGATAAAGTAATGCAAATTAAAACAGTGAAATATTCTTCACGTATCACATAGTAATTAGTAAACAGAGTAATCATTGTGCTGGGGAAAAAAACGGTATTCTCATATGTTGTTAATGGAGTAACATTGGTTTAAGTTTTCTGGAGGACAATTTTGTAGTAAGTTAAAAGAAGCTTATAATTCCTTACCTATTTAGTAAGCAGTTCTATGTTTAGAAATCTCCTCTGTGATGCACCCCAAATCTCCACTTATAAAAAAGTGCTGACATATTTTACAAGGGTGTTATTGAAGCACTGTTTATAAATATCAAAAATTGAAGACAATGTAACTATTGAATTAGTTAACTAAATTTCAGCATATTCATGTGAGGGAATACTATGTAGCCTTTTAAATATTATTGTAGAATAGTCAATAATGTAGAGAAATATTCATAGTAATTTGCTATAAAAATAAAATGTATAAAATTATATGTAGAGTACAGAAAAAAGAGTATGTTTTATGCATAAAAAACAAACCCAGAGAGGACATTTACCAATATGATAATAATGGTTATCTTTGGGTGAAGAGAATGGGAGTTTGTAATTTTATTCTTTGTTCATTTGTGATTTTACCTTTTAAAAGATTAGGCATACATCAATTTTATAATAAAAATCAAGTTGTTAAAATGATGGTTACATCTAATCTCAATTCCTCTTGCTTTTTTTTTTTTTTTTAACATTTCAAGGAAATGGAGTACAGTTGATGATCATCTTCCATATAGAACACCAACATAATTTTTGATATTCCAACATAATTTTTGATATTTAAAAAATTATTTCATATGTGGAGCCAGTTATAACCAATGAAAGTTTATTTTTTCCTCCTAATTTATATCTTACTTGTCTTTCATTGACCATCTTTTGGTATAGTAGTATAGTACCCAAAATATTCATTTGAAGTCATTAACCTCTCTTTTTCATTTTTAAAATTTCTTTTACATTAATCTAGGAGGGAGATAAGATTCTTTTCCTAAACTTTTTCCTAATAAAAATTATAAAATTTTTATTGTGCAGAGGGGTTGAGGTAATCAGTGGCATACTGTAGAATAAAAAGTAATTGAGATTTAGAATCCGAAACCCTGGCTTGGCATTCCAGCTCAGTCTTTTAGTAGTTATATACACTTTTTAAGAGTGTTTAAATCTCCCTCAAACTTAGTTTTTTAAATCTGTAAATGAAAATAATGACACATGCATATATACATTCACACCTAATTGAATCAAAAGGTTGTGTTAATGGCCAAATGAGATAGCATATTTGGGAGAGCTTTACAAACCTCAAAGTCCTCTACAGATCTCGTTGAATTTGTTCTCTTATCGAGCATTGGTAAAGGAATGCAGATACATGAGGAGAAGGAGGTGCTTCGGAGAAGCAGAGAAACCACTGTCTTCCTGAAGCCTCAGAAGTATGGATGGATGATGTTAGTATACACCACGGTGTGGTGATGTCATGGCTTCCTATTCACTTCTACTGCCTTTGCCCTTCCTAACATCGATGTCTCTATTAAACACTCAATTAAGTATGCTGAGAGAAAACTTTCACTTTTTAAGCAGCCTATATGGGCATGGGTTTACTTTTTACCATCTCTGAAAATTGACATATGGCTAAATCATTTCACCTCTGGTGGCAAAGATATATTGGGCTACATGCTCCTCTAATGTGAGAAAGGCAAATCCAATTTAATAGAGGAGGGAAAGAAAGGAATGGTGATAAATTCCTACATAAGTGGCTCATGTTGGCATGAGATTATCTACTATCCTCTTATTTGTCAAGTTAAAAAATTTGAGATTCAGGGAGTTGGAGTCACTTTCCACCACACAGTTTGTGGCAGAATCAAGACTCAAGTTTAGGTCTTCAGAACAAAACTCAGTACATCATGTCCTTGTTGTCTTCTGGGCTCCATTTCTGAGACTCACCAATAGCTTCAAGACCAAGGTAGACAATTTGCTATTTCATACGTTACTTAGAAAATGTCATCAATCCTTTTGTGTGGGGATAAGTGGAAATGTCAAACAATCTTAAATTGGCAGACTTTCCCATAATTACACAAGTTAAAGTGATCATGACCTAATGAAAATACTCCTTGGGTCCTATCAGTTGATTTTGAGACTCAGTAATCAATTACATATGCTGGTGATTTTGCTTTCTAGTGGCCAGATATATCTGATTCTGTTTATTTAGTGGTCTTAGTGTAGGAAGATGAATCTGAATCTGGGATTGCCATTTTGAATTTTTCCTCTAACCCTCACTCTAGATTTTACAAGGGGGATTTTCTTTCCTTTTTTGGATTGCAGATGTGAGTGTGTTAAAGTTTCTAGGGACAGAAAAGATAAGTGGCTGCTGCTTTGTTTTCTCTTGCTTCCTCTATATATGAAACCATTCCAATAGATCTGCAGGAAGAGATTTAGTTGCAGATGGCAGAGGTCAGTGTCTTGTGTATTCAATGTAGTCAATAATAAAGTCAGGACTTATGCTACCTGAATGTTAATAAGGAAGCACAAGGACCTTGGAAAGTCATTATGTCTGGTCATTTGCTTCATAATATTACTCCAACAGGCTCAGGAGGCCAATGCAAGGAGATTTTTAAACAAGTAACAAGAAAAGGCCAGAAAAATAAGGAAACAATTGAAATGTTGCAGAAATTGTAAGGTTCATGTAATATACTACAGCTCGGCAGAAGGAGAATTTTAAAATGTAGTTTATGTGTAGCAGAGGGAATAGTATTATTTCTTATTGAAGGAAATTTGGTCCTTATCCAAATGTACATGTTATGTTTTTCTTGTCTAAATACTATGATTCCTTCTTAATATGTATAATGGGCTTCTACAGGCACTAATTACAGGTACTTCAAATGAAGTTAGTTACATAAAACTAGTAACTTTCTTCATGGGAGAATATTTATGCATCACTGCATTTGCATAGGTAGGGAGGAAGAAACTTAGATTGAGTGACTGGTATAGGAAAAGTAAATAAATGTAAACCAGCATCTGTCTCTTATTCTCTGTGTTTTCATCTCAAATTTCATTTCTTCCCAGTATGAAGATTAACACTGTATCTATGCATTTAGTCCAGGCTTGGGTTTTACCCTTTGTTTCTTTTCTAATTCTTCTTTCTTTATCCTCAATGGACATTTATTTCCATAAAGCTAAGAAGGAAGCCACAGTGGTGCAAGCAAAACACACACACACACACACACACACACACACACACACACACACACACACACTAAACTTGTCATTATACAATGGTAAGGACCAGAGAAGTACTATCCATTGCAGCGTTTGCAAGGAGAAAACATCCCAGTTCCTCAGATGAGGCAGGAGCACAGCATGATATTTTGTTCCTACTAATTTGTAAGTCCTAGGAGATCTTCACTTTATCAAAGGCTGCCTATCACCTAATGTGAAAAAAGAATCATAAAATGTTAGATTTTAAAGTAACTTAATATTTCTACTACCTCCTCTTGTTTTTATATATCTATCCATCCATGCATCCATCCATTTATTCAATGTTTCTAGAACCTCTGTACTAGAACTGCAGATTTGAAAATGCAGCTCTTGAGAACCGCATTGTCTAGTGAGAGTACAGACATAACAACGTTAGAAATATGGTAACTCCTATGTCAATAGCTACACATACAAAGTGGTCTAGAAGCACAGAGGAAAAAGTAGCTTAAACTCAGAGTTCCGAGAAGTGACATTTGAAGTAGATTACAAAGGGTAATGGGTTAAAGGCATGAGAATAAGGACAATTAAGGAAATCATAAAGGGAGAGATATGGAGACATGTTTGGATAATGATGAACAGAAGTGAGAGGCTTGGCAGTTGTGTGGAATGGAAGTGGAGGCTGAAAATGTTCTCCTGAGCCACATGGTGCAGGCCTTGTTTGCCTGGCTATGGTGAAGATAACCTGAAGACTAGAGCCATTGAGTGTTTCATGATGTCTTGCAGAAGGTAATGGTGGAACCATGATGAGACTTAAGGTCTTATCTTCCATAAAGTTCTCTTTAACAAAGGATCAAATCTTGTTACCTCATTTTAGCAGAAAGGGTGGAAATAGTCAAACTCAAGTTCCTTCTATTCTTCTAGAAAATCCATGCCTAAAATTCCCACACACATGCACATAGATATAAAAAAAATCCAAAACAAGTGTAGAGCTTAATGAATTATTTTGAGCCAATGATCATTGTAACCACTGTTCAGGCCAAGAAACAGAATATTTCCAGTCACTACAGAAGTTCCTTTAGGTACCTGATCCTAATTACAATGTCCTCTCTTACTTTCTGTTAGTCCCTATTTTTACTTACTTGAATTTCCTTATGGTTTATTACTCAAGTATCAGTCCTTGGATACTACAGTTTAATCTTGCCCATTCCTTTTTAACTTGACGTCTCTTTTAAGTCCTGTTTATCCTATAGGCCCCCTTCACCCTTTCACTTTCTCATAACTTACCTGTTGAAGGACTTGGGTTACTTAGCTGCAGAGTTACCTGCAGTCTAGATTTTGCTAATGGCACACTCAAGGGACAATTTAATAACTTACTCTACCACTTTGATTTCCTAAACGTTGTCAGCTGCATCTCAGGCTTGATCCCTTTGGTTTTGTGTCACTTCACTGAGAGACATATCAAATCTGGTTTTTGTTTCTTTGTGATGTCAGCGGCTGTTAAGTCTCAATACTTAAATGTATTCCTTCACTGGGGGCTAAAAAAGAGTGTTTTTCTATCATTTTGTTTTTTCTTATTCGCTGAAGAAGATTTTAAAGGAGGTGAGTCCCCTTATCTATCATTTGTTTATCTAGTGACAGACTGCTGTCTTTTTACTTAATTTAAGATCAATTGGTTCATATGAACTCATGGATTTCAAACATAATTTAAATGTATTTCTTGGTTTTCAATCTGTTGGACTGCTTATCCTTATTCGAGTTTACATTGTTTCATCTTTGGCCAGTGAGATCCTGAGGAATTGATTTCTGAGACCTTTTGCCATGACCCTAGTAATCTTACATGGACTCTTTGCTATCCATTTGATATGTCAAGATGTTTCAGGGTCATCTTGTACATTTTCTGATGCTGACCTGAAAACAGCTATATTTTGAAAAGCTCTGCTGCTTGATTGTTTTTTTTTATAGAGATGGTTTTTCAAAACCACAGCCTAAGTACGAGAGAGCCTTATTTCTACTTGGTTGATCATTGTTTCTTGGCCTTTTCAGTGGACAGAGCTAGGACACACACATACGCACTTTATAATATGAATAATATATGCATTATATATTGTATTATGTAAATACAAAAATATAAAATATTACTGAAATAAATATTTTTAGTGTAAACACACAAAATACTTATAAATTCATACCAATATTTCCAATTTATATTTAAGCTTAGTGTGCTTTAATTTATCTGGATCTATATTATATCCTTGTCTTCTGAATTCTGCACCAAGAATTTTAGTTCTCAAGGGCACAGGAGTAATAGAATTAGGAAACCCCATAATTATTTGTTTTCCTTTTGTATACATACAATAGGGTGAGAACAACAATACTAATACTACCATTGCCAATTCTAAAAAAACTGAAAACAGGTTATCATTTGTTTTATATATGTTAGTCCTGTACTCCCCACAGTTTTTAATAATTTTACTGGATTTGTATTATTAGATCACATAGCCATTACATACTATAATTTCTCCCGTTTAATCCTCACTTAATTCTATAAATTGCTACATACTTAATGTTTTTCACCAGTCTCTACTGATCTTGGTTGTTTGAAGCTTGTTCTGTAGTAGATTCCTTGAGAAGTACTCGTGAGGAGAATAGAAACTGAACTATTATCGCTTGCTGTCTGTCTCCTGTATATTTGAATGTTAGTTTTTCTGAATATAAAATATTTGGTGCACTTTTTTTCTTGAGTGTTTTAAATCAGTTATTCAGTTTTCTTTTGGGATAAACTGTTGTTGAAAAGTCTAATGACAGACTAATAATCCAATCAATTATGTAAGTCATATGTTCTTTAGTCCAGATTCCAAAAGAATTTTTTCTTTAAATTCCTGTTCTTTTACAAGAATATTTATTTCTTGCTTTTTGTTATTCTGGGTTTATATTTTCAAGTATATATTGTACATTTTCAATATGTAGTTTCAAGTCTTTTTTATTTCAGAAATTTGTTTTTGAATTATATTCTTGAGAATTTGTTTTAGTGCTTATCAATACTGGTTTTCTTCTTCAGGTATTCATATTATCCGTGTGTTGGGTCTTCTTAACTGCTTCAATATTTCTCTCTTTTCCCACATCATTTTCATCTCTTTCTTCATTTGCTTTTGATGTTTAATTTTTTTCTCCTTTTTTCTTCTATTTATTTCAAAGTATTGTTATTTACTCATTTTCTTTTAATTAAGTCTTCACTTTTAAAATAATTGTTTCTTAATTTCTAATTATTTCTTGAGTGTTATCTCAGTCAATTATTCTAATTTTGATTTATGTTACTGTCATATTGTATTACTTTCTTAATGACTTTAAATCATTTTGAAGTATTATGTTACAGTTTTGATTGCTTTTTGAAATTTTTTTTCTGGCATGCTTTTCTTTTCTATAGTTGTGCTATGCAATATAGTACCAACTAGCCTCATATAGCTATTTACATTTTAATTAGTTAAAATTTAATAAAGTTAAAATTTGGTTCCCTGGGCTCATTAGTCAATAGTCACATGTGTCTAGGAGCCACTATGTTGGATGGCACAGATATAGAACATTTCCATCACCAGGAAAAGTTCTATTGGGCAGACCTGAACTATAAGGATGTTATTCTGTTTCTTATTTATCTTTTCTCTTATAGTAACTATCTAAGATATAGACTTCAATACATTCCTGCTGCTCATTTTCATGTTAATTTAGTTTTTTGAGAATGTTAGAAGGAGCCTTGGTTCAGATAGCTGTGCAACTTTATAGAACTCCCTCTTCTCCTTTTGTTTGTTTGCTTATTTTTATGTTGTGCCAAGAAGCATGACAGCTTGATTTCTGAGATTTCTTGCTAATTTTCTAGATCAGAAACATTTCTTTTCTTTGTCTTTTTTTTTGTCCATATCTTGCTTAACTTTTAAAAAATTGTATTTATTTATTTTTTAAAGAAGGGGTCTTACTCTGTTGTCTACAGTAGTGCAGTCATAGCTCATTGCAGCCTCAAAACCCTGGGCTCAAGAGATTCTCTCACTTCAGCCCCTGAGTAGATGGGACAGTAGGCATGTGCCACTATGTCTGGCTATTTTTTTTTCTTTTAATTTTTTTAGAGACTGGGTATTACTATGCATCTCAGGCTGGTCTCGAATTCCTCACTTTAAGCAATTCTCCTGCCTTAGCCAGGATTACAGGCACCACCCACCATGCCTGACCTGCTTCATTTTGATCCCACTGTCACCATTTCTCCTCGGTATGAGTCCCCATCCTAAAAGACACACCTGGCTGGTCAGTTTCCAGTGTGCACAGTGGCTAGACTGCTCCAGCTCTTTTAGGTATTTACTTATGTCCTTTGTACACACATGATATTAGATTGAGCAAAACTGTCCCAGTGTCATCTCCTATTCTCAAATTGGCTTGCCAAGATTTCTAGTAATATCTGCTGGCTATTTTGAGGCTCTCCTATTCTTAGTCCATAGACCTGTATTGTTTTTCTTTGCTTTTTCCTGCACTGATGTTGGCAGTATGAACATCTTGTGGCTGCTGGTGGCTTTTCCACCTTATGTGATTTTGGGGATTCACACCATGTGGATACCTTGCCATCTAGTTTTATTGTAAATGTGATCTATGTGTTTTCGATCTGGCTATCTAGTTGCTCTGACTGTTATAATGGGATACATCAATGGGATACATATATGGTCAGATCCATGGACCAATTCCTTTGAAGAATACATTATTTAAAAATCTTCATAAACTTCTCTTCACGGTTACCTTGCTTTAGTTTGAGCAAAGTACTAGGTTTCCATCAGGATTTGACTTGAGGTAAAAGGTTGTTATAGACCATGCAGCTGTTCCCTCTTTCAGATGTTCTCCACCTTATTTATTCTGGGTGGGGCTCACAATGGCTGAGTTTTTATTGCATTTGAAACTACATTGTAAGACATTTTTCTGCCCATATTATGTCTACTGGAAACACTTAGTGTATGTTGCTTAGTTGGCTAGCTGCCGAATTTTTGCACTTCCTTCTTGTTGTTTGGAACATCAAGATGTATCTGAGACTTATTTAAGTGGGAACCTTGGTTCGATATATATTTGTGTGTGTATACATATTTGTGCATATGCAGTAACTCTTTGTAAAAGTTCAGTGTTGAAGTATCTTCATAGATCTTCTAACAAGGTTTTTCATCTTGGCACTATTGGCATTTTGGTCCAGATTATTCTTTTTGTGGGGGGCTGTCCTGTGCATTGTAAGATGTTTAGCAGCATCCCTGCCCTCTACCCACTAGATGTCAGTAGCATCCCCCAGTTGTGACAACCAAAAATGTCTCCAGACATGGCCAAAATCTGGGTGAGAGTGCAGAGGGTGGGTGCTGCAGCAGCTGCTGCTGCTGGCAGTGGTGGTGGTGGTGGTGGAATGGGGATTAACCCCTGTTGAAAACCATGGTCTAACAGTTATCTCAGTTGGTAGTTAAAGAATGGGCAGAAGGAGGAACAATTATTTATATAAGGTCACACTGCTATGTCAGAACTGTTTTCTAGACTCTCCTGGAAGACATTACAAAGAAACAGATAATTATGTCTAATTATACTTCATCTTTTGAAAGTAAATGTTCAAAAGATTTTGGTAATCAGGATAAAGACCTTTTTTTTTTTTTTTTTTGGACCAAACTGTTATTTTGATGGCCTCTACTGTGGATATTTATTGCAAGAGGAAAAAGTGTTCACTGTTGCTTCTTGGAACATAGACTGAAACACTCCACAGGCATGCCTTTGTACTTTGGAGAAAATTGGGAAACAGTTGTTTAGATAGTAAGATTCTGTTGGTTTGTTGATTTCTAGTAAGACAATTATTTTGAGATTGCCTTCTCTTTTGGAATTTTCTTTGACAGAGTTGGCCAAGAAGAAGAAGAAAAAGTACTGATAAATATTCCTCATCACTAAAGACTGCTGGGAAAGCAGCCAAACTGGTGAGGAAATAGGGAGCTCGGTGTCTTTTTTAACTGGGGGGAAGAATCCTAAGTCCAACTTGGTAATGCCTTTCTCCATCGCCATCTTTTGGAGATTTATGACAATATATTGTTTTAAACCCTGTAACATCTTTAAGACAATTGGCAGAAATGAGAACGAGGGAGAGAGAGAGAGAGACAGACAGAGAGAATGAGAATAAAAGCACAGCACTTATTAACAAGTTCAGCACAAGTTTATTATTAAATGTTTCTTAAAGGTAGCATCACTGATATTTTGGTGTTTACCAAATATTGCTGTTTTCATTCTCATGTTTTTCCTGAAACTATAAGTTTGAGACATATTAGAAGAAGAATGTGGGCAAGACTTCGCTGTGATAAAGCTGCCCTATAATTTCAGGTTTTTAAAAATTACAGAGTGGTATGAAAGCATAAAATATGTTTTTTAGATTCAACAATTTTTTTCTCTAATGCTGTTCATGGATGTCAGCCAATGAGACCATTTCACAGGTAAGGCTCCTTCAAAATATATCTTTTCATTGCTTAAGAAATTAATCATTTTCCCCTTATGGGAATCCAATATAAATGCTTCTCAGATTGCATTTTACTTATTGGTAAATGGCATTTACCAATATCTTGGAAGAGAATAACTTGGAAGAGAAACTTGAGAATAACTTGAATAACTTGGAAGAGAAATAAAGCAAAATGGAAGGGCAAATAACATTTATTGAGCCCATAAACATATATTTGTTGTCTCCTGCAACCTTTAAAGCAGCTCTATGAGTAAGTATTCTTATCCCCATTTTTCAGATCAGGAGATATCCCAATATAATTAATAATATCCCACAAATGAAACTCTCATATTTGCTTTACAATTGACAAAGAACTCCAAAGGTATGGAATGTGCATCAGGCTATTAGAAGTGTATAGTCACTGATTTAATAGCCCTTTATTAATACACATGCATACATGTTTTCTAGATATGAAGCCTTTTAGAATTATATTATCTAATAATATCCGTAAGGGAGAGGACCTTCTAGTCTTGTTTACTTATCAACGATGAATAAAAATAGATGTCTATGTATGTAATAGATAGTATATATATATATTTGCTGATAGAATTAATTTATAAAAAGGAGCATAATAATGTTCACCTGAAGAGTTGTAAGAATTGAATGAGAAAATGCAGCGAAGCAGCAGACCTCATGCAGACACTCCATAAATGCTCATTCCCTTCTCTTCACTGTAAACCTCCCTCCTGAATGAGCTCCTGCTCTTTATGTCTCCATTCTTGATACCCATCAGTGACTGCCATTTGCTTTCAGATGAAATCTCCTTCAGTGGCCACTCTTGTTATGCCTGGATTGGGCCATCCTATTCCAGGCATGGAAGTATCCTTTTAAAGTAATCAGTGACTTCCGGGACAACGCCAATTCTAAAGCATTCTATATGAAAGTAGGCTAACAAGTATGATTCCAAGTACAGGGCACAAAGGATAAGACATCTGTTTGAACTGTTAAGGAGGCATTGAAAGGGCCATTTTTTAAAAATTATTATACTTTAAGTTCTAGGGTACATGTGCACAACGTGCAGGTTTGTTACATATGTGTACATGTGCCATGTTGGTGTGCTGCACCCATTAACTCGTCATTTACATTAGGTATATCTCCTAATGCTATCCCTCCCCTCTCCCCCCACCCCACGACAGGCCCCGGTGTGTGATGTTCCCGAAAGGGCCATTTTGGGGGATGAAAAAAGGAGAGTGGAAATAAAAATTAAAGATCCATTTACCCCTTGGTGGTTCCTCTTCACTAATATTCATTGAACCTGCATTAGTGAGTTGGGGCTGAGAAACTAAGTGTTTCCAAATGTCCATGGAAAATTCTGTGTTCAGATGCTTTTTTAGAGTTCACATTGACTTATAAACACTAATTTTATTTCATCGAATTTGTTCTGCAGCTCTATCCTGATGAATATATGACACCCAGAGAAACAACAATTTTCTTCACTTTTCTTTTTTATCTTTAATTTCAAACCTAGTTCCCCATATGCATTTAGGAAACAGAAGAATCTAAGATTTTTCTTATGTATAGTTACGTGCATTTTAACAAACTTTGGACTTCAGAGATTAGCTACGCCTTCCTGCTCTGCAGAATTCTAACTGCTACCTGCATAATAATGAACCATTGAGAAGTGGGGAGAGAGAGAAGCTCCTGTGTGGCAGTTATGCCTGGGAAAGAGAATTTAGCTTTCATCAAGTTTACTGATAATCCTCAATCTTCATATGGAAATGTGACTCATTTCTCTGAGCTGCCTGCCACATATGTTTCAGAATATATATATATATATATATATATATATATATATATATATATATATTTATTTTTAAAGGGCAAGGGCATACGTTTTCTCTCTATGCCCCCTGTCTCCAATGGAATTTAATAGGAAATGATTAACGTTGGCAAACTTGAGGGGATGAGTTAAGGAGGGTTGATTTTGTATGGAGAAGAAAAGTGAAGCAAGAGAACAGAATTTCTGTATTTTCATTTTCTGCATAGAAAGTTATCCAGGTTTTTTTGTAAATTATAATGTTTTAACCTGAAAGAGATAATCCATTTGTCAGTGTTCTGGGAATCCTAAAGTGCTAATCAAATGTTAGTATATACAGCCAAACATTGATTATTTTTAATATGACGTTTTCCCCCAGGCCTTACACAATGTACCTATGGGATGACCTTTACATCAACAGCACAAAATTGACTTGCTTCATTCACTAAAAATGCCAGTGTCCTCTCACTCTCCCCACACACATTAAAAACAACGACCACAACACATGTAAAGTTATTCCCAAGGACTGTCTCTCCTGTGCTGAGAAACAAGTTGGTCAAGGATGATCCTCGGGTGTCCTTGGATGTCTTTGTCCTTTCCTCCGTCTGTTGCCCCCTAGCTTTGGTACATCTCCAGGGTAGGGAAATATTTGTTACATGTTTGTACCTGCACAATCACCTACCATATTATTACCTGGCTCAGCCTAGGTGGCCAGTGAATGATTAAGAAATTTGATTAACTAACACATTCTGCCTTGTCATCCCGTATGTTGGTTTTTTCATCTGAGATTGTTATCAGCAACCTATCTATGCTTGCATCTGCGTTATTAATGATGCGAAGAATCTTTCTCTCTATCCTTGCTTGGAGTAGAGGGTTGGGAATGAATGAACTCTAATGTTCCTTACAGCTTCCAGACATTTTGTATCATGTTTGTTAATATGATACAAACAGACCTGAGTGTGAATTCTGATTTTGCTGCTTGAAAGAAATGTTGGCTTGGAAAAGCTTAACTTTCAGTGCTTGCATCGGAGGTGGTTAATGAATGTACGTTGAATAAATTAATGTTCTCTAAGCCTCATTCCCTAAAATGAAGAAAATAATATGCAATGTACTTAATAGTGCTATTAAAGATCTCATTTGGCAAATTTAGGAAGGTAGAAAATTATTTTGATGTCTTACAAACATACTTTTGGATAATCATCTGCCGTTTTTCCTGCCCTTTCTACATACTTGTAGTCTTCTGAACGATCTATCTATCTATCTATCTAGATTTCAAGGAAGGTTAATATCTGATATTATGTTGTATTTCTGTGGTTCCCTATGTTCTCACAACATACTGTTTAACTTTGCCATTTCAGCAACCATCTGAGGTAATTGAGGATATCATTTGCTTGTTGCAGACCAGAAACTTGAGCCTCAGAAAGAATTTGACTTACCTAAAGTTACAGGAGTCTCCAACGTATGATGAGAACTTAGATTTTCTGACTTAATATCTGGGAGGTTTTGCCACTGCCTTGTTGTTCTCTCAGTGATCAGGATTTCTAAAATGAACTGAACATTTATTTATCTCCACATGCCAGTTCTTTTTGATGAAACACAAGGGAAGGAAGACCAGAGCTCCAACTTACTGTGTGGCTTTAATGGTAGTACATTTGAATTACTTTTTTGATCTCTACAGTTTGTTTGCAGGTGAAATGAGGAAGAGGAGAAATGGAGAAATAGTCCATTAAACCCAACAGCTGTGTTTGTGTTTGCAGCTGTTCTTGTGCATACAGGGCTGCGGGGAGACCCTGGCTGCTGGCAGAATAGCTGGTCTCATGGCCAGTAGCTAGGTTCCTTTGTGGTATTTGGAGACTAGCTGGAGCATGAGGAAAGTTTAGAGGAAATGCAAAAGTCTTGCCCAAACTAGGATTCTTCAGTGTAAAACATATCCTCTTCCCTCTTTTTGATATTATACAGGTTCATGCCTGACAGACTCAAGTAAATAAGCAGCTTAGCTATTATGGGGCTGGCTGAAGGTGGGGTGGCAGAAACTACTAATAGATTCAAGAAGAACAACAGAATGTTGGTTAAAAGTGTGGATTCTGGAGCTAATTGAACATCTATTATGTGCAAGGTGCTGGGGGTATAGCAGCAGGGAAAAAAATCCCTGCTCCTCTCATAGAGCTTATATTTTAGGTAGAAGAGAGAGATAGGAAAATAAAAAAGTAAATGATATAGTATATTAGAAGGTTATTTTACTGTGGAGAAAAATCTGTCAGGGAAGGGGACAAGGCATATTATCAAAATTTCCCCTCTTCCCCTTTTCATGGAAAATTTGTCCATGGCAAATTTTCGTGATTCAACTTTTTAATATGTCAGCTTCTAATTCTTGGGCTGCCTTGGTTCTCCTCTACTAACTCTATCCTTCTTTTATCCAGAAAAAAGCAAGTCTTGCAGTTTGGTGGGAGAGAGTATGCAGTCACCAACATGGCATGAATTTAGGAGTGAATAAACGAAAGAAAAGAAAAAAACCTATTATTTAGAGGTAAGCAGGCATTAAAAGTCCACCTTAAAATCGTGTTTTCTGTTTTTTTTTTTGCTTGCTTTTTCTTACATCTTGTAAATCAATAATACTGAATTGAGTTCTGAATTGTCCAAGCTAGTCCCAGCTATAGAATCCCTCCTGCCCAATGGAGGAATATTTATATTTCCCAAACACATCTTTTTTTTTTTTCAAGAGATTTGGACACCTATCATTAGAATGGAATAAACACAACACAATACAGGAAAGAAAGTCCAGACTAAGGCAAGAATGAAGCTGCAATCACACCACGATGACAAGCGTCAAACACTCCAGAAGCCTTGGAGCCTTGCAGCAGTCATAGCCAAAGGGGAGAACACCCTACCAATTCATCAGATAGATGAAGGCTTCCTTTCCTCTAATTTTTTAAAGAAATTCTTCAAGTTGGACAGTCCATGAGAGAACAAGAAATAATAAAATGAGCAATTTCCTCATTAATAGCTTTAGTGTGGATGCAGATTTGTTGTTGTTGGGTATCCTTAGAGAGACCAGGAATGTTCCTCCATCTGTCTCCTTTTAGCCTCTCAAGTTTCTTAGGGAGAAGTCAAAGACAGGGTTTTGGAAACCTGGATGGAACCATGTGGAGCTACAGTGTCCCTGCCGCAAAGGCAGGTAAAATCTCAGAACCTTTGTAGAAAGTAGGAGGATGACTTTCTTGGCCACTCCCTGAGCCTACCATCCAGCACTGGGCCCTCAATGTCAGTGGTTTGCAGACATTTTTTAACATGCCCCACAGTCAGAAACATATTTTACTTTGCCACCCAATACACATGCACACACACACACAGTTTAAACAAACATTTCTGTAAATTTCCAAGACAGTATTTTCCCATACTGCAAATGAGGCACTCTGATTATTTTTATTCTATTCAATTATATTTTTAATTGTTTCTTGTGCACTATACACAATAGCAAAGACATGGTATCAACCCAGGTGCCCATCCATGGTGGACTGGATAAAGAAAATATGGTACATATATATTATGGAATGCTACACACCCATAAAAAATGAAATCATGTATCTTGCAGTAACATGGATGCAGCTGAAGGCCATTATCCTAAGTGAATTAACTCAGAAACAGAAAAACCAAATACCTCATGTTCTCACTTATAAGTGGGAGTTAAACGCTGAGTACACACGGACACAAAGATGGGAACAATACTAAGGATTCCAAAAGTGGGTAGGAGGGCAAAGGTTGAAAAACTACCTACTGGGTACTATGTTCACTACCTGGGTGACAGGACCATTAGAAGCCCAAACCTCAACATCACACAATATACCCATGTAACAGACCTGCATATGTACTCCCTGAATCTAAAATAATAAAAAAAAGCTGCTTGTGACCAACAAAAAATTAATTTCATGACCCACTAATAGAGCGTAACCTGTAGTTTGAAATACAATACTTTGAATCAATTGTTCTCAACATGGGCAACTTTTCAAATTTCACTCATGTACTCTCCCTTGACGATTTGATGTAAGTCTATGATGTGTATAGGTGGTAAAATTTCCCTAAGTGATTCTGATATGTCCTGTTGCCATCTTCTAGCCAATCCAAAGTGACAAAATGCCAAGAAAAATAAACAAAGGAAAAGAAAGAGGCAGATTTGTATCCCTGTCCCAAGGGGTACAATTTCCTAATAGAAGGGATTTCTGGGCTCCAATTAAGACATGAGCAGTTGGACTACTACAATTCTCAGGAGAGTAGCCAAATATATTTATGTAAGAGAAACAGTAAATCCAAGGAGAGTCAACCTTCGCCAAAGCCTAGACGTTTAATCCTTTATGTGTTTAAGAAAAAGGTTTCTGTTTTCCCAGGACCAAAATTCCAGATGCAATAACATGTATGTATTCTTTAGTGCAGGCAATGAGGCTCAATTAAAACTACACCTGTTCCTCCATCTTCATTAGATTTCTGGTAACCTGCTAGGGTCCAAGTTTTCCTGGGTGTTAACATCTCAGGGTACGTTGTATCAGGGTGACCAGGAATTCTGGCAGACAGCATTTTGGAAGTACAGAAATAGGTGAGATCCAATTACAGGGGGGTGTTCTATCTGGCTGTGATCCTTCAGTCTCACATTTTGGATTCAGATGGGTAGGGTAGGAGCCATCATACTTAATATCCTGAGAAAATAATTTTTAATAACGCCTCTATGTGACAAAATTATTTTCAGTAACAGTTATAAAATGAAACAAAAATTAATAAGAACCAGAAAAGAAATGTAGGGGTTGACATTTAAAAAACTTATCTGTCTATCTATCATCTATCTAATTACTTACTTAATTTTTTTTTTTTGAGACGGAGTTTTGCTCTTGTCGCCCAGGCTGGAGCAGAGTGGCGTGATCTCAGCTCACTGCAACCTCCGCCTCCCAGGTTCAAGCAGTTCTACTGCCTCAGCCCCCCAAGTAGCTGGGATTACAGGCGTGCATCACCACACCCAGCTAATTCTTGTGCTTTTAGTAGAGACAGGGTTTTGCCATTTGGCCAGCCTGATCTCAAACTCCTGACCTCAGGTGATCCGCCCGCCTCGGCCTCCCGAAGTGCTGGGATTTACAAGTGTGAGCCACTGCACCCACCCTAATTTAACTTTTTACAGGCATGATATTATATGTATTATTATATGTAATATCGTGCTTATAAATATATATATTTATTATATATAATATCATGCCTATAAAAATTAAATTAGCCCAGGTGTGGTGGTCATGCCTGTAATCCCAGCACTTTGGGAGGCCAAGGTGGGTAGATAATATATGTAATTATTATAATTATATATAGCTATATAATTATATATAATAATTATAATATATAATATGTCTGTATAAAATTAAATTAAAACATTTAAAATGAAATATGGTACAAAAATGAGATAAAATTATAGATTAAAGTATTTTAATTATTGACATGTTCTTTGAAAAATATTGCATGTGATAATATTGAATAATAACATTACAGTCTATTTTTAAGCCTTAACTTCTGAAAATTTGTCAATGATGTTGATTGATCTCTGCATATGCATGTTCAGTACACAGTATGGTCAGATGTGTCAATCTATTTTTGCTCATAGTTTATTGAATAACACTTTTTAATTAATTTGTGACTTGAAACATTTCTTTTACGTAAAGCAAGATATCTAAAATAATTAGGAAAAGGCTTAAACATAAGAATACACATGTCAGAAGTTCCTAAATAATCCCATTTCACAAAAATTTCAGAAATTGTAATACTACCCATTTTGTTTTTCCCTCAAAATCAACTTTAGAAGCTTGAAAATGTCTCTGCAGTTGAAAATTTTCCACTAAAAATCTTTAGCATAAAATTTATCATAAATTTTTACTCTATTCTGTAAATATTTCTGAGGTCTTTAGTATTTTGCAAAAATCAGAATTGGCTGGACACTAGTGAATACTGGCATTATTTAATCCATTGCTTAAGAATGAGTTACGTAATTGAACTAACTGAAGTTCTGTTTCTTTGTCTTTACAACTACTGTGCTATTATAGTTTATTTGGAATCTACTGTTTAAAGACATGCATATGTAATACCACAGGGGTTGGAGACAAACTGTGGCCAAAGCAAGCTTCAGTAAGTGGTACAATTAAAAGTTCTCTGCATTAACTTTTGTAGAATATGATGTTTATCAAAGGATAAGTGATACAAATGTGATGATTTGAAGTTTATATATATTATTAAAGTTCAATCCTATCTGCAGCAATTGTTTTAAACATAGACCAACAAAAAGAATTTTCTGGGGAGAGTATTATTGCCATTGTTTAGAATTGCCAGTGCACTGTGATAGTAAAAAGCAGACTAACTTCTATTTGGTTTTATTATTGTTTTTAAATTCTGTACAGACTCCCCATTGCCCACACTAGGAACAGTTCCACCCCCTGTGTGCCACTGGGAACAGGTCTGTAGTGACGCCTGCCTGATTTGAGTTCTGTTCTTCCCCCAGCACCCCTGACAAGTTACAAAGCTGACCTCAAGCTTTTCTCCCTTCCATACCTGAAAAGTGAGTTTCTGACATGGAATTCTTTGGAGAGAGAAAAAGAAAAAAAAAACAAAAAACCTCCCACCCTGCAAACAAACAAACAAACAAACAAACAAACAAAACCAAACAAAAAAAAAAAACAAGTTTAATCTCTAATAAGGCATTCTGCTATAAGGGTAACACAAATCTTCACCCTTTGTAACATTCTTAGTCTCCAGTGACCTGACCTATCAGCAATTGTTGTCTTTGGGGTAGATGTGGAGAGAAAACTTGTGCTTCCCAGAGAGGCCAACCTTTCACAGATTGCAGGCAGTGCTTTCAGAAGTGAGAAACAAGCACTCTGTGCTCACACCCCAGCATTGGATCCCCCCCAAGGTCTGTCACTGATCTGTTGTGTAAACGTGGGCCAATTACTTACTCTGTCTGCGCAGAGTATCTGTAAAGTGGGGATGGCAGTAGTACCTGCCTCCTAGAGATTTTGTGATGATTAAATGAGAGAGAGGCACCTAGAACAATGTCTGGCACATAGAAAATATTCAATAAATATCAATTAATAGTTTTCCTCTTTTGTATAATGGTCATTAAGAAATGCATGAAAGAAATGTGCAAATCAAGAAAGACGATTCTTTCATGGGTTTAAGTAAATGCTCTAAAAATTTTATTTCTGAGACTAATCTGATTTTAGTTTACATGGAAGCTGGTTTATCCTATTAGCCATATTTTTTAAAAGGGCTACACCATCTATACATCATTCCCACTCTAGATAAATGGGAGGAGATTGGATTCAGTCTGAGTTTGCATGGTAAGAGAATCTGGGACCACAGGGAAGGTTTAACTGCACAGCAACTCAAATTCCCTAGAAAATCTATGGAAACAGCCCAATTACAGGGGATGACTTGAGTCTGAGGGGAGTTGACCCCCTTTAATAGCTTGCAATTTAATCCTTGCCACTATCCAAGTTTAGGCCCTGGCAACTAGTATTTCAATTATTTTTATCCTTCTATGCTTCTTTTCAAGAACCTAACACACTTCTCTGCCAACACTTAAGTTAAATAGGAAGACTAACAGATTAAAGCTTTGTTTCAAAGGAGGTTCCTTTGTTTTAGCTTCTTAACTCTTAAGCTTCACTTTTGACAACTTCAAGAATCTACCATTCTACTTCACTACCATTCTATCTTAATTTCCTTCACCTATCCATTAAGACAGGTTCCTCACTGTATTGCTTATTCTCTTTCCAGTCTTTTTTTCACCTCTCTTTACCTCTAATACCTTTTCTCCATAGTGTAGAGGAATATTGTCTCTAACTGTCCCCAGCATAAGATGAAGAAACTGACTCAGAATGCAAAATGACTTGCCTAAGTTGACATGTTTTGTTTACTCCATGGCAAAGTTGATCCTAGACTTCTGATTTCTAGTCTATTATTTTATTCTGAGTAGCTGTTGCAATTGGATTTCAGAATGCAGGTGTAGCATTCCCTTCCTTCATAGGTGTTTCAGTAGCTGGGATCTGCTTTTCACTTTCCTCCCAATAGACAACAAGAGACCCTGAAAACTCTTATAAGTTTCAATGAGATTCAAATTGGGACACACACACGTGTGTGTGTGTGTAAGTGTGTTTGTGTATGCTGAAGATTTCAGGGTGGAGAATAAAGCTAAGGGATAGGGTAATATTTAATTGACAGGTAATTTTGTTATGAATGAGTATTTGAGGCCATAACATTTCAATAAGTCCTTCCTTTTTGACCTGGTTTCTTCAGTCCATAGACTTACACACCACCCTGGGGTCCCTTTGATCACTTTTGGCCAATGACCATATAGTCTTGAATGTTAATTTTATTGCTTCTAGTTGGCATTTTTAAGAACAAGTGCTTTGTGCTCTGTGGTTTTCATTGAACGGAGACATGGATTGGAAGCTAGCATATTCTCACTCTCATTTGAAGCCCAAAATGAAAGTTGGTCTCCCAGGTGTCATAGTAATAGGCAACACAAAATGTAAATAAACATATTTCAATGGAATTTTGATAGGCATATGTAAGAAAGATGGCTGCACTTTAGTCAGGAGGAGGCTGAGGCGGCCTTCCAGTGCAGAATGACTCAGCGGGTTTGCAGCACAGGCGCACAACCCCACACATTATGTAACCACGTCACGTGAGGCACATTAGGTAACCACTCACATGAACTTGTGCTTGGCTCGGAGCCACTATTGTCTGTAAAAGGTATAACTATCCTGCTGACAATATACATACGGCTGGCCCCCATAGAGAGAATAAAGCCATGTCACAACTGCCTAAGATTCCTCAAGTGTTTTTCCAGCTACCCACCACCTACCCACCCACTACTCTTGGATCTCAGCTTGGGCTTGAACCTGACAGCATAGTGCTTAATGTAGTTCAGACATGGGATTAGGTGATTTTAAAATAATTTTTATCAATCAACATAGTAGAGCCTTTCTTTAGTCCTTTCTGAGTCTAAAAGACTTATACTATTTACATATTAAAAAAATGAATATCAACATTTCTGACTATTTTGACAAAGAGAATGCTGTAGGAGGCATTTCTGTAAGAAAAGGGTCCTTGGGGAAACTTTTAACAAATTCTCTTTTCATGTAAACTTTCAAGAAACTGAAATTAAAATATGCTTAAGACTTTGTCCATTTATATTTATTTCACAAATAGGAACAGCTACATATACAATAATTAAAGAACAAGTTCAAAAGGACAACTGATTTATGTCACTGTTAGGTCTCAAACCTAGAATTCCTAAAGATAAAAGTTTGGGTCTACGATTGGGCTCATCTTATATTTCTTTGGCAAAAGGTAGGAAAAATTGAGATGATATAAATTCTCTTTGCCTCATACTCATTTATTTTCCTCCTACTATCATAGTGATCATTTAACTCAATTTAATTCTAGAAGCATTTATTCAGTAACTACTATGTACCAGATTCTGTGCCAGGTGCTCTGGATGATACAAAATTAAATAAGATATACTTAAAACTGGGCATACTTCAACTAAATGTGCTATTATTTTTATACTAGTGCTATGAATGGTGTAAGCAAGCCTCTTTTGAGAGAGAAGAGCTTCACGGAGAAGCAGATTTTGCTGGTGGTGAAACAGGGGAAGGTCATTCCTGGCAGAGGGAGCAGGTGAGCCCAGGTATGTTTTGGAACACTTAGTGCATGGGGAGTGTGCAGGAGATGAGGCTGGAAAGGAAGGACAGGGCAGGTTACTAAAGGATTTACCTGCATGCTCAAGGGTAACAAGGTTAAAGACTGTCTTCCATGAGCAATGGAGGATCAACAGTGTTTACAAAGAGTATGAGGCATGTGGAAGGAAAGCTAGGGATGTTGACTCCTGATGGCCCTGAGTCTCCTGGGGAGGTGAATGACAGGATTTCTGCTGCGACCCAGGAGTTAGCGGTGAGGTTAGGATACTGGGAAGAGTGCAGTCAAGTGTTGAATAGGTGCTGTAGGGGATAGAAAAGGAAGCCAACCGGTAATGAGCAACAAGATTGGTAAACAGTATCTAGCTAAAGATGAAAAACGTCACAAATTTCTCATATAGCTAATTAGTATAGGTATACCAATTTTCTGCTGCAACATTCAACAGTCAAGGTACAGACAGTTGTGTTGATATCACTACTAATTCTTAATTTCACAGACACATGTTGCTTGATGTCCCTGGAGTCCCCCAAATACTTGTAGTCACTCTTCTTTTATTAAGATCTGTGATGAAGGCCAAAAATGTGCTTTTGTGTCCTGAGGGGTGGGGTGGAAATATTTATCCAAGAATAGACATGACGCCTTTTTGACAAGAGACAAATGTTTCATTCAAATGCTGCATTTCGCATATTGGAAACTGTAATGAATTTTTGTGCACCTCTCTACCTAGTTCACAATGTCAGGCCCAGGCATTGAAGCACCTCAGGCTTCCCTCACAAAATTAAATTTAATGCTATACCCTCCAGTAAAATGGTACATAAATCAAGCATTTGATTTGCATGGACTGCAGCAAGCAGCTCCGTTCTGGACAAATATAAACCCAACTCTGAATATTATGTCAGGGACAGGAACAAAGCAATCTAGGACTTCCAATAAAAGTCTGGTACCAAGGGTAATTCATGCTGGTATTACTGCTCTGTGTTAAGCCTGTTATTAGAACTCTTGTTTTAACCTCCTTTTTTCATTTCAAAAGAAAATGTTTTTTTTTTTTTTGACCTCCCTGTATTCAGAAAACCAGTGCACACTCAAACCAGTACTATTTATAAACTGGTATCTACTAGGACAACCATGGGCATATTTATTTTCTTCCCCCACCTACCCCTACCAACATAGAGTACAGGAATGGGGTACATATGAGTAATCAAGAGGAAAGAAAGAAAACAAAGGGCATGGAATAAAATATACCACAGGAGATTAGGTAACATGGATATTCACTAATGTTCTACCTTTGGCCATAGTCCCAAGAGAATGGAAAGAACAGTTTCAGGGCAGACAAGTATAAAAAACGATGCAATAGCCAAATTTAATGCACATTTGGATGCAGAACATGCATCCAATTCAGGAAAAGTGAGCCTAACTATGCATCATTTGGTCTTGTTTCTGGCCTCCAGCATATGCTGAGTTATACATTTTCCTTATATTCATATTTTCCCCATCACAGGCTATCTGAACTTTTTTTTTTTTTTTTTTTTTTTTTTTTTTACTAAAAGTAAAATCACAGTGATCTGAAATTGACTGAGGCCTTGAGATAAGAAACATCTTTACAAATGCAAAATGAGCCCCCCCTTAATCCCCTGAGAACATAAATAGATCATGGACTTGCACATATTCTACTCTACATCAAGGCCTGTCATGTTTATTCTGGAATGTTATAAGGGTATTACAAACAGAGCTCGCTCCTGAAGCCAAGTGCATTTCCAAGAAGGCACAGCTGTCCAGAACACATAACCAGGTGAAGATGTGATCCTGAGAGCTGTGCTGATGATTTGGTATCTGCAGTGTAATTTCTCCCAGCTGTCACCGAACATCTGTTCGAATTTAGAATGCTTCAAGATCTGAATAGGTGAAAGTAGGTGTCTGAAAACATAAATTTATGATGTTTTAAGAATAGTAAATTAGGATTCATTTGTGAATGGAATACATCAATACATATGTATTAAATGGATACAATGTGTCAGTCACGGTGCTAGGTACTAAGGGGGATGTCAAAACAAAATCAGACCTAGACTCCACTTCCAGGGAATTTATAAAAACAATTTAAAGTCTAAGAGATATATATAACTATCATACAAGATGAAAATGTCATAAGGTATATAGATATAGAAGAGGGATCAGCACATTGGAGGAAATCAGAGAAGGCTAAGCAGACAGGATTTGGCTGTATAAAATGGGGGTAGGAAAGGAGATACAGTGGGAGAAGAGCAAGGGAACAGGAAATCCCACGCACAGATCCTGCATGATGAATATTAACGAATGCCACACTACTGAATTAGTGGGTGAATGAAGACAGCAGAGAGAAATGAAACTGGAAAGGTAGACTTGGGGACAGGGATAGAAGGATAGGGGACAGCCATTGAATACTGGACTAAGCAGTTTATTTTATTTTATTTTATTTTTTATTTTAATTTAATTTAATTTTATTTAATTTAATTTAATTTTATTTTATTTTTGAGAGGAGTCTTGCA